>NC_000008.11:44033744-44228997 GCF_000001405.40 Homo sapiens | reverse complement strand
CTTCTATGTCGTTTTTATGGGAAGATATTTCCTTTTTCACCATAGGCCTGAAAGCGCTCCAAATGTCCACTTCCAGATACTACAATAAGAGACCCAGGAGGCAGTGGTTTCAGTGAGCCGAGATCGCGCCATCGCGCTCCAGCCTGGATGACACGGCAAGGCTCTGTCCCAAAAAAAAAAAAAAAGATCTGTCTAGATTTTCTTTGAAGACATTACCGTTTCCAACGAAATCCTCAAAGCTAGCCAAATATCCACCTGCAGATTCTACAAAAAGAGTGTTTCAAAAGTGCTCTCTCCAAACCAAGGTTCAATTCTGACAGTTGAGTGCACACATCACAAACGTGATTCTGCGAACGCTTCTGTCTAGTTTTTGTCGGAAGATATTTCCTTTTTCAGCATAGGCCCCAAGGAGCTCAAAATGTCCACTGCCAGATAGTACGAGAAGATTGTTTCAAACCTGCTCTGTGAAAGGGAATGTTCAACTCTGTGACTTGAATGTAAACATCCCTAAGATGTTTCTTAGAATGCTTCTGGCTAGATTTGATTTGAAGATATTCCCGTTTCCAACGAAATCCTCAAAGCTTTCCAAATATCCACTTCCAGATTCTATAAAAAGAATGTTTCAGAACAGTTCTGTCAAAAGAAAGGTTCAACTCTGTTAGTGGAGAACACACATCACAATCAAGGTTCTGAGAATGCTTCTGTCTAAATTTTCTATGAAGACATTCCCGTTTCCAACGAAATCCTCACAGCTATCCAAATATCCACTTGCAGATTCTACAAAAAGTGTGGTTCAAAACTGCTGTATCAAAAGAATGGATCAACACTGTTAGTTGAGTACCCACATCACAAACGTGATTCTCAGAATGCTTCTGTCTAGTTTCTGTAGGTAGATATTTCCTATTTTAAGCATAGGCCTGAAAACGCTCCAAATGCCCGCTTCCAGACACTATAAAAAGAGGGTTTCAAACCTACTCTATGAAAGGGAATGTTCAACTCTGAGAGCTGGATGCAAACATCACAAAGAAGTTTCTGAGAATGCTGCTGTGTACTTTTGATATATAATCCCGTTTCCAACGAAATCCTCAAATCTATCCAAATATCCACTTGCAGATTCCAAAAGAAGAGTGTCTCAAAACTGCTCTATCAATAGAAATGTTCAGCACAGTTAGTTGAGTAGATACAGCATAAACATGTTTCTGAGATTACTTCTATCTCGCATTCATGGGAAGATATTTCCTTTTTCCACATAGGCTACAAAGCCCTCCAAATGTCCACTTCCAGATACTACAAAAAGAGTGTTTCCAACCTGCTCTATGAAACGGAAGGTTCAACTCTGTGACTTGATTGCAAACATCACGAAGGTGTTTCTGAGAATGCTTCTGTCTAGATTTTCTTTGAAGACATTACCGTTTCCAACGAAATCCTCAAAGCTAGCCAAATATCCACCTGCAGATTCTACAAAAAGAGTGTTTCAAAAGTGCTCTGTCCAAACCAAGGTTCAATTCTGACAGTTGAGTGCACACATCACAAACGTGATTCTGCGAATGCTTCTGTCTAGTTTTTGTCGGAAGATATTTCCTTTTTCAGCATAGGCCCCAAGGAGCTCAAAATGTCCACTGCCAGATAGTACGAGAAGATTGTTTCAAACCTGCTCTGTGAAAGGGAATGTTCAACTCTGTGACTTGAATGTAAACATCCCTAAGATGTTTCTTAGAATGCTTCTGGCTAGATTTTATTTGAAGATATTCCCGTTTCCAACGAAATCCTCAAAGCTTTCCAAATATCCACTTCCAGATTCTATAACAAGAATGTTTCAGAACAGTTCTGTCAAAAGAAAGGTTCAACTCTGTTAGTGGAGAACACACATCACAATCAAGGTTCTGAGAATGCTTCTGTCTAAATTTTCTATGAAGACATTCCCGTTTCCAACGAAATCCTCACAGCTATCCAAATATCCACTTGCAGATTCTACAAAAAGTGTGGTTCAAAACTGCTGTATCAAAAGAATGGATCAACACTGTTAGTTGAGTACCCACATCACAAACGTGATTCTCAGAATGCTTCTGTCTAGTTTCTATAGGTAGATATTTCCTTTTTCAGCATAGGCCTGAAAGCGCTCCAAATGCCCGCTTCCAGACACTATAAAAAGAGGGTTTCAAACCTACTCTATGAAAGGGAATGTTCAACTCTGAGAGCTGGATGCAAACATCACAAAGAAGTTTCTGAGAATGCTGCTGTCTACTTTTTATATATAATCCCATTTCCAACGAAATCCTCAAATCTCTCCAAATATCCACTTGTAGATTCCAAAAGAAGAGTGTCTCAAAACTGCTCTATCAATAGAAATGTTCAGCACAGTTAGTTGAGTAGATACAGCATAAACATGTTTCTGAGATTACTTCTATCTCGCATTCATGGGAAGATATTTCCTTTTTCCAGATAGGCTACAATGCCCTCCAAATGTCCACTTCCAGATACTACAAATAGAGTGCTGCACAACTGCTCTATGTGAGGGGATGTTCAATTCTGTGACTTGAATGCAGACACCACAAAGAAGTTTCTGAGAATTCTGCTGTCTAATTTTTACATGTAAGCCCGTTTCCAACGAAATCCTCAAAGCTATCCAAATATCCGCATGCAGAATCTTCAAAAAGAGTGTTCCAGAAGTACTGCATGAAACGAAAGCTTCGAGTCCGTTAGTTGAGGACACGCATCACAAATAAGTTTCTCAGAATGCTTCTGTCTTGTTTTCATTGGAACATATTTCCCTTTTCACCATAGTTCAGAAAGCCCTCCAAATGTCCACTTCCAGATACTACAAAAAGAGTGTTTCCAACCTGCTCTATGAAACGGAAGGTTCAACTCTGTGACTTGATTGCAAACATCACGAAGGTGTTTCTGAGAATGCTTCTGTCTAGATTTTCTTTGAAGACATTACCGTTTCCAACGAAATCCTCAAAGCTAGCCAAATATCCACCTGCAGATTCTACAAAAAGAGTGTTTCAAAATTGCTCTGTCCAAACCAAGGTTCAATTCTGACAGTTGAGTGCACACATCACAAACGTGATTCTGCGAATGCTTCTGTCTAGTTTTTGTCGGAAGATATTTCGTTTTTCAGCATAGGCCCCAAGGAGCTCAAAATGTCCACTGCCAGATAGTACGAGAGGATTGTTTCAAACCTGCTCTGTGAAAGGGAATGTTCAACTCTGTGACTTGAATGTAAACATCCCTAAGATGTTTCTTAGAATGCTTCTGGCTAGATTTTATTTGAAGATATTCCCGTTTCCAACGAAATCCTCAAAGCTTTCCAAATATCCACTTCCAGATTCTATAAAAAGAATGTTTCAGAACAGTTCTGTCAAAAGAAAGGTTCAACTCTGTTAGTGGAGAACACACATCACAATCAAGGTTCTGAGAATGCTTCTGTCTAAATTTTCTATGAAGACATTCCCGTTTCCAACGAAATCCTCACAGCTATCCAAATATCCACTTGCAGATTCTACAAAAAGTGTGGTTCAAAACTGCTGTATCAAAAGAATGGATCAACACTGTTAGTTGAGTACCCACATCACAAACGTGATTCTCAGAATGCTTCTGTCTAGTTTCTATAGGTAGATATTTCCTTTTTCAGCATAGGCCTGAAAGCGCTCCAAATGCCCGCTTCCAGACACTATAAAAAGAGGGTTTCAAACCTACTCTATGAAAGGGAATGTTCAACTCTGAGAGCTGGATGCAAACATCACAAAGAAGTTTCTGAGAATGCTGCTGTCTACTTTTTATATATAATCCCGTTTCCAACGAAATCCTCAAATCTATCCAAATATCCACTTGCAGATTCCAAAAGAAGAGTGTCTCAAAACTGCTCTATCAATAGAAATGTTCAGCACAGTTAGTTGAGTAGATACAGCATAAACATCTTTCTGAGATTACTTCTATCTCGCATTCATGGGAAGATATTTCCTTTTTCCAGATAGGCTACAAAGCCCTCCAAATGTCCACTTCCAGATACTACAAATAGAGTGCTGCACAACTGCTCTATGTGAGGGGATGTTCAATTCTGTGACTTGAATGCAGACACCACAAAGAAGTTTCTGAGAATGCTGCTGTCTAATTTTTACATGTAAGCCCGTTTCCAACGAAATCCTCAAAGCTATCCAAATATCCGCATGCAGAATCTTCAAAAAGAGTGTTCCAGAAGTACTGCATGAAACGAAAGGTTCAAGTCCGTTTGTTGAGGACACACATCACAAATAAGTTTCTCAGAATGCTTCTGTCTTGTTTTCATTGGAAGATATTTCCTTTTTCACCATAGTTCAGAAAGCGCTCCAAATGTCCACTTCCAGATACTCCAAAAAGAGTGTTTCCAACCTGCTCTATGAATGGGAATGTTCCACTCTGTGACTTGAATGGAAATATGGCAAAGTATTTTCTGAGTATGCTGCTGTGTACGTTTTATATTGCATCCCGTTTCCAACGAAATCCTCAAAGCGATCCAAATATCCACTTGCAGATTCCAAAAAAAGAGTGTTTCAAACTGCTCTGTCAGTACAAAGGTTCAACACTGTTAGTTGATTAGATGCATCATAAACAATTTCCTGAGATAGCTTCTATGTCGTTTTTATGGGAAGATATTTCCTTTTTCACCATAGGCCTGAAAGCGCTCCAAATGTCCACTTCCAGATACTACAATAAGAGTGTTTCCAACCTGCTCTATGAAACGGAAGGTTCAACTCTGTGACTTGATTGCAAACATCACGAAGGTGTTTCTGAGAATGCTTCTGTCTAGATTTTCTTTGAAGACATTCCCGTTTCCAACGAAATCCTCACAGCTATCCAAATATCCTCTTGCAGATTCTACAAAAAGTGTGGTTCAAAACTGCTGTATCAAAAGAATGGATCAACACTGTTAGTTGAGTACCCACATCACAAACGTGATTCTCAGAATGCTTCTGTCTAGTTTCTGTAGGTAGATATTTCCTATTTTAAGCATAGGCCTGAAAGCGCTCCAAATGCCCGCTTCCAGACACTATAAAAAGAGGGTTTCAAACCTACTCTATGAAAGGGAATGTTCAACTCTGAGAGCTGGATGCAAACATCACAAAGAAGTTTCTGAGAATGCTGCTGTCTACTTTTTATATATAATCCCGTTTCCAACGAAATCCTCAAATCTATCCAAATATCCACTTGCAGATTCCAAAAGAAGAGTGTCTCAAAACTGCTCTATCAATAGAAATGTTCAGCACAGTTAGTTGAGTAGATACAGCATAAACATGTTTCTCAGATTACTTCTATCTCGCATTCATGGGAAGATAATTCCTTTTTCCAGATAGGCTACAAAGCCCTCCAAATGTCCACTTCCAGATACTACAAATAGAGTGCTGCACAACTGCTCTATGTGAGGGGAAGTTCAATTCTGTGACTTGAATGCAGACACCACAAAGAAGTTTCTGAGAATGCTGCTGTCTAATTTTTACATGTAAGACCGTTTCCAACGAAATCCTCAAAGCTATCCAAATATCCGCATGCAGAATCTTCAAAAAGAGTGTTCCAGAAGTACTGCATGAAACGAAAGGTTCAAGTCCGTTTGTTGAGGACACACATCACAAATAAGTTTCTCAGAATGCTTCTGTCTTGTTTTCATTGGAAGATATTTCCTTTTTCACCATAGTTCAGAAAGCGCTCCAAATGTCCACTTCCAGATACTCCAAAAAGAGTGTTTCCAACCTGCTCTATGAATGGGAATGTTCCACTCTGTGACATGAATGGAAATATGGCAAAGTATTTTCTGAGTATGCTGCTGTGTACGTTTTATATTGCATCCCGTTTCCAACGAAATCCTCAAAGCGATCCAAATATCCACTTGCAGATTCCAAAAAAAGAGTGTTTCAAACTGCTCTGTCAGTACAAAGGTTCAACACTGTTAGTTGATTAGATGCATCATAAACAAGTTCCTGAGATAGCTTCTATGTCGTTTTTATGGGAAGATATTTCCTTTTTCACCATAGGCCTGAAAGCGCTCCAAATGTCCACTTCCAGATACTACAATAAGAGTGTTTCCAACCTGCTCTATGAAACGGAAGGTTCAACTCTGTGACTTGATTGCAAACATCACGAAGGTGTTTCTGAGAATGCTTCTGTCTAGATTTTCTTTGAAGACATTCCCGTTTCCAACGAAATCCTCACAGCTATCCAAATATCCTCTTGCAGATTCTACAAAAAGTGTGGTTCAAAACTGCTGTATCAAAAGAATGGATCAACACTGTTAGTTGAGTACCCACATCACAAACGTGATTCTCAGAATGCTTCTGTCTAGTTTCTGTAGGTAGATATTTCCTATTTTAAGCATAGGCCTGAAAGCGCTCCAAATGCCCGCTTCCAGACACTATAAAAAGAGGGTTTCAAACCTACTCTATGAAAGGGAATGTTCAACTCTGAGAGCTGGATGCAAACATCACAAAGAAGTTTCTGAGAATGCTGCTGTCTACTTTTTATATATAATCCCGTTTCCAACGAAATCCTCAAATCTATCCAAATATCCACTTGCAGATTCCAAAAGAAGAGTGTCTCAAAACTGCTCTATCAATAGAAATGTTCAGCACAGTTAGTTGAGTAGATACAGCATAAACATGTTTCTGAGATTACTTCTATCTCGCATTCATGGGAAGATATTTCCTTTTTCCAGATAGGCTACAAAGCCCTCCAAATGTCCACTTCCAGATACTACAAAAAGAGTGTTTCCAACCTGCTCTATGAAACGGAAGGTTCAACTCTGTGACTTGATTGCAAACATCACGAAGGTGTTTCTGAGAATGCTTCTGTCTAGATTTTCTTTGAAGACATTACCGTTTCCAACGAAATCCTCAAAGCTAGCCAAATATCCACCTGCAGATTCTACAAAAAGAGTGTTTCAAAAGTGCTCTGTCCAAACCAAGGTTCAATTCTGACAGTTGAGTGCACACATCACAAACGTGATTCTGCGAATGCTTCTGTCTAGTTTTTGTCGGAAGATATTTCCTTTTTCAGCATAGGCCCCAAGGAGCTCACAATGTCCACTGCCAGATAGTACGAGAAGATTGTTTCAAATCTGCTCTGTGAAAGGGAATGTTCAACTCTGTGACTTGAATGTAAACATCCCTAAGATGTTTCTTAGAATGCTTCTGGCTAGATTTGATTTGAAGATATTCCCGTTTCCAACGAAATCCTCAAAGCTTTCCAAATATCCACTTCCAGATTCTATAAAAAGAATGTTTCAGAACAGTTCTGTCAAAAGAAAGGTTCAACTCTGTTAGTGGAGAACACACATCACAATCAAGGTTCTGAGAATGCTTCTGTCTAAATTTTCTATGAAGACATTCCCGTTTCCAACGAAATCCTCACAGCTATCCAAATATCCACTTGCAGATTCTACAAAAAGTGTGGTTCAAAACTGCTGTATCAAAAGAATGGATCAACACTGTTAGTTGAGTACCCACATCACAAACGTGATTCTCAGAATGCTTCTGTCTAGTTTCTATAGGTAGATATTTCCTTTTTCAGCATAGGCCTGAAAGCGCTCCAAATGCCCGCTTCCAGACACTATAAAAAGAGGGTTTCAAACCTACTCTATGAAAGGGAATGTTCAACTCTGAGAGCTGGATGCAAACATCACAAAGAAGTTTCTGAGAATGCTGCTGTCTACTTTTTATATATAATCCCGTTTCCAACGAAATCCTCAAATCTATCCAAATATCCACTTGCAGATTCCAAAAGAAGAGGGTCTCAAAACTGCTCTATCAATAGAAATGTTCAGCACAGTTAGTTGAGTAGATACAGCATAAACATGTTTCTGAGATTACTTCTATCTCGCATTCATGGGAAGATATTTCCTTTTTCCAGATAGGCTACAAAGCCCTCCAAATGTCCACTTCCAGATACTACAAATAGAGTGCTGCACAACTGCTCTATGTGAGGGGAAGTTCAATTCTGTGACTTGAATGCAGACACCACAAAGAAGTTTCTGAGAATGCTGCTGTCTAATTTTTACATGTAAGCCCGTTTCCAACGAAATCCTCAAAGCTATCCAAATATCCGCATGCAGAATCTTCAAAAAGAGTGTTCCAGAAGTACTGCATGAAACGAAAGGTTCAAGTCCGTTTGTTGAGGACACACATCACAAATAAGTTTCTCAGAATGCTTCTGTCTTGTTTTCATTGGAAGATATTTCCTTTTTCACCATAGTTCAGAAAGCGCTCCAAATGTCCACTTCCAGATACTCCAAAAAGAGTGTTTCAAACCTGCTCTATGAATGGGAATGTTCCACTCTGTGACTTGAATGGAAATATGGCAAAGTATTTTCTGAGTATGCTGCTGTGTACGTTTTATATTGCATCCCGTTTCCAACGAAATCCTCAAAGCGATCCAAATATCCACTTGCAGATTCCAAAAAAAGAGTGTTTCAAACTGCTCTGTCAGTACAAAGGTTCAACACTGTTAGTTGATTAGATGCATCATAAACAAGTTCCTGAGATAGCTTCTATGTCGTTTTTATGGGAAGATATTTCCTTTTTCACCATAGGCCTGAAAGCGCTCCAAATGTCCACTTCCAGATACTACAATAAGAGTGTTTCCAACCTGCTCTATGAAACGGAAGGTTCAACTCTGTGACTTGATTGCAAACATCACGAAGGTGTTTCTGAGAATGCTTCTGTCTAGATTTTCTTTGAAGACATTCCCGTTTCCAACGAAATCCTCACAGCTATCCAAATATCCTCTTGCAGATTCTACAAAAAGTGTGGTTCAAAACTGCTGTATCAAAAGAATGGATCAACACTGTTAGTTGAGTACCCACATCACAAACGTGATTCTCAGAATGCTTCTGTCTAGTTTCTGTAGGTAGATATTTCCTATTTTAAGCATAGGCCTGAAAGCGCTCCAAATGCCCGCTTCCAGACACTATAAAAAGAGGGTTTCAAACCTACTCTATGAAAGGGAATGTTCAACTCTGAGAGCTGGATGCAAACATCACAAAGAAGTTTCTGAGAATGCTGCTGTCTACTTTTTATATATAATCCCGTTTCCAACGAAATCCTCAAATCTATCCAAATATCCACTTGCAGATTTCAAAAGAAGAGTGTCTCAAAACTGCTCTATCAATAGAAATGTTCAGCACAGTTAGTTGAGTAGATACAGCATAAACATGTTTCTGAGATTACTTCTATCTCGCATTCATGGGAAGATATTTCCTTTTTCCAAGTAGGCTACAAAGCCCTCCAAATGTCCACTTCGAGATACTACAAATAGAGTGCTGCACAACTGCTCTATGTGAGGGGAAGTTCAATTCTGTGACTTGAATGCAGACACCACAAAGAAGTTTCTGAGAATGCTGCTGTCTAATTTTTACATGTAAGCCCGTTTCCAACGAAATCCTCAAAGCTATCCAAATATCCGCATGCAGAATCTTCAAAAAGAGTGTTCCAGAAGTACTGCATGAAACGAAAGGTTCAAGTCCGTTTGTTGAGGACACACATCACAAATAAGTTTCTCAGAATGCTTCTGTCTTGTTTTCATTGGAAGATATTTCCTTTTTCACCATAGTTCCGAAAGCGCTCCAAATGTCCACTTCCAGATACTCCAAAAAGAGTGTTTCAAACCTGCTCTATGAATGGGAATGTTCCACTCTCTGACTTGAATGGAAATATGGCAAAGTATTTTCTGAGTATGCTGCTGTGTACGTTTTATATTGCATCCCGTTTCCAACGAAATCCTCAAAGCGATCCAAATATCCACTTGCAGATTCCAAAAAAAGAGTGTTTCAAACTGCTCTGTCAGTACAAAGGTTCAACACTGTTAGTTGATTAGATGCATCATAAACAAGTTCCTGAGATAGCTTCTATGTCGTTTTTATGGGAAGATATTTCCTTTTTCACCATAGGCCTGAAAGCGCTCCAAATGTCCACTTCCAGATACTACAATAAGAGTGTTTCCAACCTGCTCTATGAAACGGAAGGTTCAACTCTGTGACTTGATTGCAAACATCACGAAGGTGTTTCTGAGAATGCTTCTGTCTAGATTTTCTTTGAAGACATTCCCGTTTCCAACGAAATCCTCAAAGCTAGCCAAATATCCACCTGCAGATTCTACAAAAAGAGTGTTTCAAAAGTGCTCTGTCCAAACCAAGGTTCAATTCTGACAGTTGAGTGCACACATCACAAACGTGATTCTGCGAATGCTTCTGTCTAGTTTTTGTCGGAAGATATTTCCTTTTTCAGCATAGGCCCCAAGGAGCTCAAAATGTCCACTGCCAGATAGTACGAGAAGATTGTTTCAAACCTGCTCTGTGAAAGGGAATGTTCAACTCTGTGACTTGAATGTAAACATCCCTAAGATGTTTCTTAGAATGCTTCTGGCTAGATTTTATTTGAAGATATTCCCGTTTCCAACGAAATCCTCAAAGCTTTCCAAATATCCACTTCCAGATTCTATAAAAAGAATGTTTCAGAACAGTTCTGTCAAAAGAAAGGTTCAACTCTGTTAGTGGAGAACACACATCACAATCAAGGTTCTGAGAATGCTTCTGTCTAAATTTTCTATGAAGACATTCCCGTTTCCAACGAAATCCTCACAGCTATCCAAATATCCACTTGCAGATTCTACAAAAAGTGTGGTTCAAAACTGCTGTATCAAAAGAATGGATCAACACTGTTAGTTGAGTACCCACATCACAAACGTGATTCTCAGAATGCTTCTGTCTAGTTTCTATAGGTAGATATTTCCTTTTTCAGCATAGGCCTGAAAGCGCTCCAAATGCCCGCTTCCAGACACTATAAAAAGAGGGTTTCAAACCTACTCTATGAAAGGGAATGTTCAACTCTGAGAGCTGGATGCAAACATCACAAAGAAGTTTCTGAGAATGCTGCTGTCTACTTTTTATATATAATCCCGTTTCCAACGAAATCCTCAAATCTATCCAAATATCCACTTGCAGATTCCAAAAGAAGAGTGTCTCAAAACTGCTCTATCAATAGAAATGTTCAGCACAGTTAGTTGAGTAGATACAGCATAAACATGTTTCTGAGATTACTTCTATCTCGCATTCATGGGAAGATATTTCCTTTTTCCAGATAGGCTACAAAGCCCTCCAAATGTCCACTTCCAGATACTACAAATAGAGTGCTGCACAACTGCTCTATGTGAGGGGAAGTTCAATTCTGTGACTTGAATGCAGACACCACAAAGAAGTTTCTGAGAATGCTGCTGTCTAATTTTTACATGTAAGCCCGTTTCCAACGAAATCCTCAAAGCTATCCAAATATCCGCATGCAGAATCTTCAAAAAGAGTGTTCCAGAAGTACTGCATGAAACGAAAGGTTCAAGTCCGTTTGTTGAGGACACACATCACAAATAAGTTTCTCAGAATGCTTCTGTCTTGTTTTCATTGGAAGATATTTCCTTTTTCACCATAGTTCAGAAAGCGCTCCAAATGTCCACTTCCAGATACTCCAAAAAGAGTGTTTCCAACCTGCTCTATGAATGGGAATGTTCCACTCTGTGACTTGAATGGAAATATGGCAAAGTATTTTCTGAGTATGCTGCTGTGTACGTTTTATATTGCATCCCGTTTCCAACGAAATCCTCAAAGCGATCCAAATATCCACTTGCAGATTCCAAAAAAAGAGTGTTTCAAACTGCTCTGTCAGTACAAAGGTTCAACACTGTTAGTTGATTAGATGCATCATAAACAAGTTCCTGAGATAGCTTCTATGTCGTTTTTATGGGAAGATATTTCCTTTTTCACCATAGGCCTGAAAGCGCTCCAAATGTCCACTTCCAGATACTACAATAAGAGTGTTTCCAACCTGCTCTATGAAACGGAAGGTTCAACTCTGTGACTTGATTGCAAACATCACGAAGGTGTTTCTGAGAATGCTTCTGTCTAGATTTTCTTTGAAGACATTCCCGTTTCCAACGAAATCCTCACAGCTATCCAAATATCCTCTTGCAGATTCTACAAAAAGTGTGGTTCAAAACTGCTGTATCAAAAGAATGGATCAACACTGTTAGTTGAGTACCCACATCACAAACGTGATTCTCAGAATGCTTCTGTCTAGTTTCTGTAGGTAGATATTTCCTATTTTAAGCATAGGCCTGAAAGCGCTCCAAATGCCCGCTTCCAGACACTATAAAAAGAGGGTTTCAAACCTACTCTATGAAAGGGAATGTTCAACTCTGAGAGCTGGATGCAAACATCACAAAGAAGTTTCTGAGAATGCTGCTGTCTACTTTTTATATATAATCCCGTTTCCAACGAAATCCTCAAATCTATCCAAATATCCACTTGCAGATTCCAAAAGAAGAGTGTCTCAAAACTGCTCTATCAATAGAAATGTTCAGCACAGTTAGTTGAGTAGATACAGCATAAACACGTTTCTGAGATTACTTCTATCTCGCATTCATGGGAAGATATTTCCTTTTTCCAGATAGGCTACAAAGCCCTCCAAATGTCCACTTCCAGATACTACAAATAGAGTGCTGCACAACTGCTCTATGTGAGGGGAAGTTCAATTCTGTGACTTGAATGCAGACACCACAAAGAAGTTTCTGAGAATGCTGCTGTCTAATTTTTACATGTAAGGCCGTTTCCAACGAAATCCTCAAAGCTATCCAAATATCCGCATGCAGAATCTTCAAAAAGAGTGTTCCAGAAGTACTGCATGAAACGAAAGGTTCAAGTCCGTTTGTTGAGGACACACATCACAAATAAGTTTCTCAGAATGCTTCTGTCTTGTTTTCATTGGAAGATATTTCCTTTTTCACCATAGTTCAGAAAGCGCTCCAAATGTCCACTTCCAGATACTCCAAAAAGAGTGTTTCCAACCTGCTCTATGAATGGGAATGTTCCACTCTGTGACTTGAATGGAAACATGGCAAAGTATTTTCTGAGTATGCTGCTGTGTACGTTTTATATTGCCTCCCGTTTCCAACGAAATCCTCAAAGTGATCCAAATATCCACTTGCAGATTCCAAAAAAAGAGTGTTTCAAACTGCTCTGTCAGTACAAAGGTTCAACACTGTTAGTTGATTAGATGCATCATAAACAAGTTCCTGAGATAGCTTCTATGTCGTTTTTATGGGAAGATATTTCCTTTTTCACCATAGGCCTGAAAGCGCTCCAAATGTCCACTTCCAGATACTACAATAAGAGTGTTTCCAACCTGCTCTATGAAACGGAAGGTTCAACTCTGTGACTTGATTGCAAACATCACGAAGGTGTTTCTGAGAATGCTTCTGTCTAGATTTTCTTTGAAGACATTCCCGTTTCCAACGAAATCCTCACAGCTATCCAAATATCCTCTTGCAGATTCTACAAAAAGTGTGGTTCAAAACTGCTGTATCAAAAGAATGGATCAACACTGTTAGTTGAGTACCCACATCACAAACGTGATTCTCAGAATGCTTCTGTCTAGTTTCTGTAGGTAGATATTTCCTATTTTAAGCATAGGCCTGAAAGCGCTCCAAATGCCCGCTTCCAGACACTATAAAAAGAGGGTTTCAAACCTACTCTATGAAAGGGAATGTTCAACTCTGAGAGCTGGATGCAAACATCACAAAGAAGTTTCTGAGAATGCTGCTGTCTACTTTTTATATATAATCCCGTTTCCAACGAAATCCTCAAATCTATCCAAATATCCACTTGCAGATTCCAAAAGAAGAGTGTCTCAAAACTGCTCTATCAATAGAAATGTTCAGCACAGTTAGTTGAGTAGATACAGCATAAACATGTTTCTGAGATTACTTCTATCTCGCATTCATGGGAAGATATTTCCTTTTTCCAGATAGGCTACAAAGCCCTCCAAATGTCCACTTCCAGATACTACAAAAAGAGTGTTTCCAACCTGCTCTATGAAACGGAAGGTTCAACTCTGTGACTTGATTGCAAACATCACGAAGGTGTTTCTGAGAATGCTTCTGTCTAGATTTTCTTTGAAGACATTACCGTTTCCAACGAAATCCTCAAAGCTAGCCAAATATCCACCTGCAGATTCTACAAAAAGAGTGTTTCAAAAGTGCTCTGTCCAAACCAAGGTTCAATTCTGACAGTTGAGTGCACACATCACAAACGTGATTCTGCGAATGCTTCTGTCTAGTTTTTGTCGGAAGATATTTCCTTTTTCAGCATAGGCCCCAAGGAGCTCAAAATGTCCACTGCCAGATAGTACGAGAAGATTGTTTCAAACCTGCTCTGTGAAAGGGAATGTTCAACTCTGTGACTTGAATGTAAACATCCCTAAGATGTTTCTTATAATGCTCTGGCGTAGATTTGATTTGAAGATATTCCCGTTTCCAACGAAATCCTCAAAGCTTTCCAAATATCCACTTCCAGATTCTATAAAAAGAATGTTTCAGAACAGTTCTGTCAAAAGAAAGGTTCAACTCTGTTAGTGGAGAACACACATCACAATCAAGGTTCTGAGAATGCTTCTGTCTAAATTTTCTATGAAGACATTCCCGTTTCCAAGGAAATCCTCACAGCTATCCAAATATCCACTTGCAGATTCTACAAAAAGTGTGGTTCGAAACTGCTGTATCAAAAGAATGGATCAACACTGTTAGTTGAGTACCCACATCACAAACGTGATTCTCAGAATGCTTCTGTCTAGTTTCTATAGGTAGATATTTCCTTTTTCAGCATAGGCCTGAAAGCGCTCCAAATGCCCGCTTCCAGACACTATAAAAAGAGGGTTTCAAACCTACTCTACGAAAGGGAATGTTCAACTCTGAGAGCTGGATGCAAACATCACAAAGAAGTTTCTGAGAATGCGGCTGTCTACTTTTTATATATAATCCCGTTGCCAACGAAATTCTCAAATCTATCCAAATATCCACTTGCAGATTCCAAAAGAAGAGTGTCTCAAAACTGCTCTATCAATAGAAATGTTCAGCACAGTTAGTTGAGTAGATACAGCATAAACATGTTTCTGAGATTACTTCTATCTCGCATTCATGGGAAGATATTTCCTTTTTCCAGATAGGCTACAAAGCCCTCCAAATGTCCACTTCGAGATACTACAAATAGAGTGCTGCACAACTGCTCTATGTGAGGGGATGTTCAATTCTGTGACTTGGATGCAGACACCACAGAGAAGTTTCTGAGAATGCTGCTGTCTAATTTTTATATGTAAGCCCGTTTCCAACGAAATCCTCAAAGCTATCCAAATATCCGCATGCAGAATCTTCAAAAAGAGTGTTCCAGAAGTACTGCATGAAACGAAAGGTTCAAGTCCGTTAGTTGAGGACACACATCACAAATAAGTTTCTCAGAATGCTTCTGTCTTGTTTTCATTGGAAGATATTTCCTTTTTCACCATAGTTCAGAAAGCGCTCCAAATGTCCACTTCCAGATACTCCAAAAAGAGTGTTTCCAACCCGCTCTATGAATGGGAATGTTCCACTCTGTGACTTGAATGGAAATATGGCAAAGTATTTTCTGAGTATGCTGCTGTGTACGTTTTATATTGCATCCCGTTTCCAACGAAATCCTCAAAGCGATCCAAATATCCACTTGCAGATTCCAAAAAAAGAGTGTTTCAAACTGCTCTGTCAGTACAAAGGTTCAACACTGTTAGTTGATTAGATGCATCATAAACAAGTTCCTGAGATAGCTTCTATGTCGTTTTTATGGGAAGATATTTCCTTTTTCACCATAGGCCTGAAAGCGCTCCAAATGTCCACTTCCAGATACTACAAAAAGAGTGTTTCCAACCTGCTCTATGAAACGGAAGGTTCAACTCTGTGACTTGATTGCAAACATCACGAAGGTGTTTCTGAGAATGCTTCTGTCTAGATTTTCTTTGAAGACATTACCGTTTCCAACGAAATCCTCAGAGCTAGCCAAATATCCACCTGCAGATTCTACAAAAAGAGTGTTTCAAAAGTACTCTGTCCAAACCAAGGTTCAATTCTGACAGTTGAGTGCACACATCACAAACGTGATTCTGCGAATGCTTCTGTCTAGTTTTTGTCGGAAGATATTTCCTTTTTCACCATAGGCCCAAAGGAGCTCAAAATGTCCACTGCCAGATAGTACGAGAAGATTGTTTCAAACCTGCTCTGTGAAAGGGAATGTTCAACTCTGTGACTTGAATGTAAACATCCCTAAGATGTTTCTTAGAATGCTTCTGGCTAGATTTGATTTGAAGATATTCCCGTTTCCAATGAAATCCTCAAAGCTTTCCAAATATCCACTTCCAGATTCTATAAAAAGAATGTTTCAGAACAGTTCTGTCAAAAGAAAGGTTCAACTCTGTTAGTGGAGAACACACATCACAATCAAGGTTCTGAGAATGCTTCTGTCTAAATTTTCTATGAAGACATTCCCGTTTCCAACGAAATCCTCACAGCTATCCAAATATCCACTTGCAGATTCTACAAAAAGTGTGGTTCAAAACTGCTGTATCAAAAGAATGGATCAACACTGTTAGTTGAGTACCCACATCACAAACGTGATTCTCAGAATGCTTCTGTCTAGTTTCTATAGGTAGATATTTCCTTTTTCAGCATAGGCCTGAAAGCGCTCCAAATGACCACTTCCAGACACTATAAAAAGAGGGTTTCAAACCTACTCTATGAAAGGGAATGTTCAACTCTGAGAGCTGGATGCAAACATCACAAAGAAGTTTCTGAGAATGCTGCTGTCTACTTTTGATATATAATCCCGTTTCCAACGAAATCCTCAAATCTATCCAAATATCCACTTGCAGATTCCAAAAGAAGAGTGTCTCAAAACTGCTCTATCAATAGAAATGTTCAGCACAGTTAGTTGAGTAGATACAGCATAAACATGTTTCTGAGATTACTTCTATCTCGCATTCATGGGAAGATATTTCCTTTTTCCAGATAGGCTACAAAGCCCTCCAAATGTCCACTTCCAGATACTACAAATAGAGTGCTGCACAACTGCTCTATGTGAGGGGAAGTTCAATTCTGTGACTTGAATGCAGACACCACAAAGAAGTTTCTGAGAATGCTGCTGTCTAATTTTTACATGTAAGCCCGTTTCCAACGAAATCCTCAAAGCTATCCAAATATCCGCATGCAGAATCTTCAAAAAGAGTGTTCCAGAAGTACTGCATGAAACGAAAGGTTCAAGTCCGTTTGTTGAGGACACACATCACAAATAAGTTTCTCAGAATGCTTCTGTCTTGTTTTCATTGGAAGATATTTCCTTTTTCACCATAGTTCAGAAAGCGCTCCAAATGTCCACTTCCAGATACTCCAAAAAGAGTGTTTCCAACCTGCTCTATGAATGGGAATGTTCCACTCTGTGACTTGAATGGAAATATGGCAAAGTATTTTCTGAGTATGCTGCTGTGTACGTTTTATATTGCATCCCGTTTCCAACGAAATCCTCAAAGCGATCCAAATATCCACTTGCAGATTCCAAAAAAAGAGTGTTTCAAACTGCTCTGTCAGTACAAAGGTTCAACACTGTTAGTTGATTAGATGCATCATAAACAAGTTCCTGAGATAGCTTCTATGTCGTTTTTATGGGAAGATATTTCCTTTTTCACCATAGGCCTGAAAGCGCTCCAAATGTCCACTTCCAGATACTACAAAAAGAGTGTTTCCAACCTGCTCTATGAAACGGAAGGTTCAACTCTGTGACTTGATTGCAAACATCACGAAGGTGTTTCTGAGAATGCTTCTGTCTAGATTTTCTTTGAAGACATTCCCGTTTCCAACGAAATCCTCACAGCTATCCAAATAAACTCTTGCAGATTCTACAAAAAGTGTGGTTCAAAACTGCTGTATCAAAAGAATGGATCAACACTGTTAGTTGAGTACCCACATCACAAACGTGATTCTCAGAATGCTTCTGTCTAGTTTTTGTCGGAAGATATTTCCTTTTTCAGCATAGGCCCCAAGGAGCTCAAAATGTCCACTGCCAGATAGTACGAGAAGATTGTTTCAAACCTGCTCTGTGAAAGGGAATGTTCAACTCTGTGACTTGAATGTAAACATCCCTAAGATGTTTCTTAGAATGCTTCTGGCTAGATTTTATTTGAAGATATTCCCGTTTCCAATGAAATCCTCAAAGCTTTCCAAATATCCACTTCCAGATTCTATAAAAAGAATGTTTCAGAACAGTTCTGTCAAAAGAAAGGTTCAACTCTGTTAGTGGAGAACACACACCACAATCAAGGTTCTGAGAATGCTTCTGTCTAAATTTTCTATGAAGACATTCCCGTTTCCAACGAAATCCTCACAGCTATCCAAATATCCACTTGCAGATTCTACAAAAAGTGTGGTTCAAAACTGCTGTATCAAAAGAATGGATCAACACTGTTAGTTGAGTACCCACATCACAAACGTGATTCTCAGAATGCTTCTGTCTAGTTTCTATAGGTAGATATTTCCTTTTTCAGCATAGGCCTGAAAGCGCTCCAAATGCCCGCTTCCAGACACTATAAAAAGAGGGTTTCAAACCTACTCTATGAAAGGGAATGTTCAACTCTGAGAGCTGGATGCAAACATCACAAAGAAGTTTCTGAGAATGCTGCTGTCTACTTTTGATATATAATCCCGTTTCCAACGAAATCCTCAAATCTATCCAAATATCCACTTGCAGATTCCAAAAGAAGAGTGTCTCAAAACTGCTCTATCAATAGAAATGTTCAGCACAGTTAGTTGAGTAGATACAGCATAAACATGTTTCTGAGATTACTTCTATCTCGCATTCATGGGAAGATATTTCCTTTTTCCACATAGGCTACAAAGCCCTCCAAATGTCCACTTCCAGATACTACAAAAAGAGTGTTTCCAACCTGCTCTATGAAACGGAAGGTTCAACTCTGTGACTTGATTGCAAACATCACGAAGGTGTTTCTGAGAATGCTTCTGTCTAGATTTTCTTTGAAGACATTACCGTTTCCAACGAAATCCTCAAAGCTAGCCAAATATCCACCTGCAGATTCTACAAAAAGAGTGTTTCAAAAGTGCTCTGTCCAAACCAAGGTTCAATTCTGACAGTTGAGTGCACACATCACAAACGTGATTCTGCGAATGCTTCTGTCTAGTTTTTGTCGGAAGATATTTCCTTTTTCAGCATAGGCCCCAAGGAGCTCAAAATGTCCACTGCCAGATAGTACGAGAAGATTGTTTCAAACCTGCTCTGTGAAAGGGAATGTTCAACTCTGTGACTTGAATGTAAACATCCCTAAGATGTTTCTTAGAATGCTTCTGGCTAGATTTTATTTGAAGATATTCCCGTTTCCAACGAAATCCTCAAAGCTTTCCAAATATCCACTTCCAGATTCTATAAAAAGAATGTTTCAGAACAGTTCTGTCAAAAGAAAGGTTCAACTCTGTTAGTGGAGAACACACATCACAATCAAGGTTCTGAGAATGCTTCTGTCTAAATTTTCTATGAAGACATTCCCGTTTCCAACGAAATCCTCACAGCTATCCAAATATCCACTTGCAGATTCTACAAAAAGTGTGGTTCAAAACTGCTGTATCAAAAGAATGGATCAACACTGTTAGTTGAGTACCCACATCACAAACGTGATTCTCAGAATGCTTCTGTCTAGTTTCTATAGGTAGATATTTCCTTTTTCAGCATAGGCCTGAAAGCGCTCCAAATGCCCGCTTCCAGACACTATAAAAAGAGGGTTTCAAACCTACTCTATGAAAGGGAATGTTCAACTCTGAGAGCTGGATGCAAACATCACAAAGAAGTTTCTGAGAATGCTGCTGTCTACTTTTTATATATAATCCCGTTTCCAACGAAATCCTCAAATGTATCCAAATATCCACTTGCAGATTCCAAAAGAAGAGTGTCTCAAAACTGCTCTATCAATAGAAATGTTCAGCACAGTTAGTTGAGTAGATACAGCATAAACATGTTTCTGAGATTACTTCTATCTCGCATTCATGGGAAGATATTTCCTTTTTCCAGATAGGCTACAAAGCCCTCCAAATGTCCACTTCCAGATACTACAAATAGAGTGCTGCACAACTGCTCTATGTGAGGGGAAGTTCAATTCTGTGACTTGAATGCAGACACCACAAAGAAGTTTCTGAGAATGCTGTTGTCTAATTTTTACATGTAAGACCGTTTCCAACGAAATCCTCAAAGCTATCCAAATATCCGCATGCAGAATCTTCAAAAAGAGTGTTCCAGAAGTACTGCATGAAACGAAAGTTTCAAGTCCGTTTGTTGAGGACACACATCACAAATAAGTTTCTCAGAATGCTTCTGTCTTGTTTTCATTGGAAGATATTTCCTTTTTCACCATAGTTCAGAAAGCGCTCCAAATGTCCACTTCCAGATACTCCAAAAAGAGTGTTTCCAACCTGCTCTATGAATGGGAATGTTCCACTCTGTGACTTGAATGGAAATATGGCAAAGTATTTTCTGAGTATGCTGCTGTGTACGTTTTATATTGCATCCCGTTTCCAACGAAATCCTCAAAGCGATCCAAATATCCACTTGCAGATTCCAAAAAAAGAGTGTTTCAAACTGCTCTGTCAGTACAAAGGTTCAACACTGTTAGTTGATTAGATGCATCATAAACAAGTTCCTGAGATAGCTTCTATGTCGTTTTTATGGGAAGATATTTCCTTTTTCACCATAGGCCTGAAAGCGCTCCAAATGTCCAATTCCAGATACTACAAAAAGAGTGTTTCCAACCTGCTCTATGAAACGGAAGGTTCAACTCTGTGACTTGATTGCAAACATCACGAAGGTGTTTCTGAGAATGCTTCTGTCTAGATTTTCTTTGAAGACATTCCCGTTTCCAACGAAATCCTCACAGCTATCCAAATATCCTCTTGCAGATTCTACAAAAAGTGTGGTTCAAAACTGCTGTATCAAAAGAATGGATCAACACTGTTAGTTGAGTACCCACATCACAAACGTGATTCTCAGAATGCTTCTGTCTAGTTTCTGTAGGTAGATATTTCCTATTTTAAGCATAGGCCTGAAAGCGCTCCAAATGCCCGCTTCCAGACACTATAAAAAGAGGGTTTCAAACCTACTCTATGAAAGGGAATGTTCAACTCTGAGAGCTGGATGCAAACATCACAAAGAAGTTTCTGAGAATGCTGCTGTCTACTTTTTATATATAATCCCGTTTCCAACGAAATCCTCAAATCTATCCAAATATCCACTTGCAGATTCCAAAAGAAGAGTGTCTCAAAACTGCTCTATCAATAGAAATGTTCAGCACAGTTAGTTGAGTAGATACAGCATAAACATGTTTCTGAGACTACTTCTATCTCGCATTCATGGGAAGATATTTCCTTTTTCCAGATAGGCTACAAAGCCCTCCAAATGTCCACTTCCAGATACTACAAATAGAGTGCTGCACAACTGCTCTATGTGAGGGGAAGTTCAATTCTGTGACTTGAATGCAGACACCACAAAGAAGTTTCTGAGAATGCTGCTGTCTAATTTTTACATGTAAGCCCGTTTCCAACGAAATCCTCAAAGCTATCCAAATATCCGCATGCAGAATCTTCAAAAAGAGTGTTCCAGAAGTACTGCATGAAACGAAAGGTTCAAGTCCGTTTGTTGAGGACACACATCACAAATAAGTTTCTCAGAATGCTTCTGTCTTGTTTTCATTGGAAGATATTTCCTTTTTCACCATAGTTCAGAAAGCGCTCCAAATGTCCACTTCCAGATACTCCAAAAAGAGTGTTTCCAACCTGCTCTATGAATGGGAATGTTCCACTCTGTGACTTGAATGGAAATATGGCAAAGTATTTTCTGAGTATGCTGCTGTGTACGTTTTATATTGCATCCCGTTTCCAACGAAATCCTCAAAGCGATCCAAATATCCACTTGCAGATTCCAAAAAAAGAGTGTTTCAAACTGCTCTGTCAGTACAAAGGTTCAACACTGTTAGTTGATTAGATGCATCATAAACAAGTTCCTGAGATAGCTTCTATGTCGTTTTTATGGGAAGATATTTCCTTTTTCACCATAGGCCTGAAAGCGCTCCAAATGTCCACTTCCAGATACTACAATAAGAGTGTTTCCAACCTGCTCTATGAAACGGAAGGTTCAACTCTGTGACTTGATTGCAAACATCACGAAGGTGTTTCTGAGAATGCTTCTGTCTAGATTTTCTTTGAAGACATTCCCGTTTCCAACGAAATCCTCACAGCTATCCAAATATCCTCTTGCAGATTCTATAAAAAGTGTGGTTCAAAACTGCTGTATCAAAAGAATGGATCAACACTGTTAGTTGAGTACCCACATCACAAACGTGATTCTCAGAATGCTTCTGTCTAGTTTCTGTAGGTAGATAATTCCTATTTTAAGCATAGGCCTGAAAGCGCTCCAAATGCCCGCTTGCAGACACTATAAAAAGAGGGTTTCAAACCTACTCTATGAAAGGGAATGTTCAACTCTGAGAGCTGGATGCAAACATCACAAAGAAGTTTCTGAGAATGCTGCTGTCTACTTTTTATATATAATCCCGTTTCCAACGAAATCCTCAAATCTATCCAAATATCCACTTGCAGATTCCAAAAGAAGAGTGTCTCAAAACTGCTCTATCAATAGAAATGTTCAGCACAGTTAGTTGAGTAGATACAGCATAAACATGTTTCTGAGATTACTTCTATCTCGCATTCATGGGAAGATATTTCCTTTTTCCAGATAGGCTACAAAGCCCTCCAAATGTCCACTTCCAGATACTACAAATAGAGTGCTGCACAACTGCTCTATGTGAGGGGATGTTCAATTCTGTGACTTGAATGCAGACACCACAAAGAAGTTTACTGAGAATGCTTGCTGTCTAATTTTTATATGTAAGCCCGTTTCCAACGAAATCCTCAAAGCTATCCAAATATCCGCATGCAGAATCTTCAAAAAGAGTGTTCCAGAAGTACTGCGTGAAACGAAAGGTTCGAGTCCGTTAGTTGAGGACACGCATCACAAATAAGTTTCTCAGAATGCTTCTGTCTTGTTTTCATTGGAAGATATTTCCTTTTTCACCATAGTTCTGAAAGCGCTCCAAATGTCCACTTCCAGACACTCCAAAAAAAGTGTTTCAAACCTGCTCTATGAATGGGAATGTTCCACTCTGTGACTTGAATGGAAATATGGCAAAGTATTTTCTGAGTATGCTGCTGTGTACGTTTTATATTGCATCCCGTTTCCAACGAAATCCTCAAGGCCATCCAAATATCCACTTGCAGATTCCAAAAAAAGAGTGTTTCAAACTGCTCTGTCAGTACAAAGGTTCAACACTGTTAGTTGATTAGATGCATCATAAACAAGTTCCTGAGATAGCTTCTATGTCGCTTTTATGGGAAGATATTTCCTTTTACACCATAGGCCTGAAAGCGCTCCAAATGTCCACTTCCAGATACTACAAAATGAGTGTTTCCAACCTGCTCTATGAAACGGAAGGTTCAACTCTGTGACTTGATTGCAAACATCACGAAGGTGTTTCTGAGGATGTTTCTGTCTAGATTTTCTTTGAAGACATTCCCGTTTCCAACGAAATCCTCAAAGCTAGCCAAATATCCACCTGCAGATCCTACGAAAAGAGTGTCTCAAAAGTGCTCTGTCCAAACAAAGGTTCAATTCTGACAGTTGAGTGCACACATCACAAACGTGATTCTGCAAATGCTTCTGTCTAGTTTTTGTCGGAAGATATTTCCTTTTTCAGCATAGGCCCCAAGGAGCTCAAAATGTCCACTGCCAGATAGTACGAGAAGATTGTTTCAAACCTGCTCTGAGAAAGGGGAATGTTCAACTCTGTGACTTGAATGTAAACATCCCTAAGATGTTTCTTAGAATGCTTCTGGCTAGATTTTATTTGAAGATATTCCCATTTCCAACGAAATCCTCAAAACTTTCCAAATATCCACTTCCAGATTCTCTAAAAAGAATGTTTCAAATCAGTTCTGTCCAAAGAAAGGTTCAACTCTGTTAGTGGAGAACTCACATCACAATCCAGGTTCTGAGAATGCTTCTGTCTAAATTTTCTATGAAGACATTCCCGTTTCCAACGAAATCCTCACAGCTATCCAAATATCCACTTGCAGATTCTACAAAAAGGGTGGTTCAAAACTGCTGTATCAAAAGAATGGATCAACACTGTTAGTTGAGTACCCACATCACAAACGTGATTCTCAGAATGCTTCTGTCTAGTTTCTGTAGGTAGATAATTCCTTTTTCAGCATAGGCCTGAAAGCGCTCCAAATGCCCGCTTCCAGACAGTATAAAAAGGGGGTTTCAAACCTACTCTATGAAAGGGAATGTTCAACTCTGAGAGCTGGATGCAAACATCACAAAGAAGTTTCTGAGAATGCTGCTGTCTACTTTTTATATATAATCCCGTTTCCAACGAAATCCTCAAATCTATCCAAATATCCACTTGCAGATTCCAAAAGAAGAGTGTCTCAAAACTGCTCTATCAATAGAAATGTTCAGCACAGTTAGTTGAGTAGATACAGCATAAACATGTTTCTGAGATTACTTCTATCTCGCATTCAGGGGAAGATATTTCCTTTTTCCAGAAAGGCTACAAAGCCCTCCAAATGTCCACTTCCAGATACTACAAAAAGAGTGTTTCCAACCTGCTCTATGAAACGGAAGGTTCAACTCTGTGACTTGATTGCAAACATCACGAAGGTGTTTCTGAGAATGCTTCTGTGTAGATTTTCTTTGAAGACATTACCGTTTCCAACGAAATCCTCAAAGCTAGCCAAATATCCACCTGCAGATTCTACAAAAAGAGTGTTTCAAAAGTGCTCTGTCCAAACCAAGGTTCAATTCTGACAGTTGAGTGCACACATCACAAACGTGATTCTGCGAATGCTTCTGTCTAGTTTTTGTCGGAAGATATTTCCTTTTTCAGCATAGGCCCCAAGGAGCTCAAAATGTCCACTGCCAGATAGTACGAGAAGATTGTTTCAAACCTGCTCTGTGAAAGGGAATGTTCAACTCTGTGACTTGAATGTAAACATCCCTAAGATGTTTCTTAGAATGCTTCTGGCTAGATTTTATTTGAAGATATTCCCGTTTCCAACGAAATCCTCAAAGCTTTCCAAATATCCACTTCCAGATTCTATAAAAAGAATGTTTCAGAACAGTTCTGTCAAAAGAAAGGTTCAACTCTGTTAGTGGAGAACACACATCACAATCAAGGTTCTGAGAATGCTTCTGTCTAAGTTTTCTAAGAAGACATTCCCGTTTCCAACGAAATCCTCACAGCTATCCAAATATCCACTTGCAGATTCTACAAAAAGTGTGGTTCAAAACTGCTGTATCAAAAGAATGGATCAACACTGTTAGTTGAGTACCCACATCACAAACGTGATTCTCAGAATGCTTCTGTCTAGTTTCTGTAGGTGGATATTTCCTATTTTAAGCATAGGCCTGTAAGCGCTCCAAATGCCCGCTTCTAGACACTATAAAAAGAGGGTTTCAAACCTACTCTATGAAAGGGAATGTTCAACTCTGAGAGCTGGATGCAAACATCACAAAGAAGTTTCTGAGAATGCTGCTGTCTACTTTTTATATATAATCCCGTTTCCAACGAAATCCTCAAATCTATCCAAATATCCACTTGCAGATTCCAAAAGAAGAGTGTCTCAAAACTGCTCTATCAATAGAAATGTTCAGCACAGTTAGTTGAGTAGATACAGCATAAACATGTTTCTGAGATTACATCTATCTCGCATTCATGGGAAGATATTTCCTTTTTCCAGATAGGCTACAAAGCCCTCCAAATGTCCACTTCCAGATACTACAAAAAGTGTGTTTCCAACATGCTCTATGAAACGGAAGGTTCAACTCTGTGACTTGATTGCAAACATCACGAAGGTGTTTCTGAGAATGCTTCTGTCTAGATTTTCTTTGAAGACATTACCGTTTCCAACGAAATCCTCAAAGCTAGCCAAATATCCACCTGCAGATTCTACAAAAAGTGTGTTTCAAAAGTGCTCTCTCCAAACCAAGGTTCAATTCTGACAGTTGAGTGCACACATCACAAACGTGATTCTGCGAATGCTTCTGACTAGTTTTTGTCGGAAGATATTTCCTTTTTCAGCATAGGCCCCAAAGAGCTCAAAATGTCCACTGCCAGATAGTACGAGAAGATTGTTTCAAACCTGCTCTGTGAAAGGGAATGTTCAACTCTGTGACTTGAATGTAAACATCCCTAAGATGTTTCTTAGAATGCTTCTGGCTAGATTTTATTTGAAGATATTCCCGTTTCCAACGAAATCCTCAAAGCTTTCCAAATATCCACTTCCAGATTCTATAAAAAGAATGTTTCAGAACAGTTCTGTCAAAAGAAAGGTTCAACTCTGTTAGTGGAGAACACACATCACAATCAAGGTTCTGAGAATGCTTCTGTCTAAATTTTCTATGAAGACATTCCCGTTTCCAACGAAATCCTCACAGCTATCCAAATATCCACTTGCAGATTCTACAAAAAGTGTGGTTCAAAACTGCTGTATCAAAAGAATGGATCAACACTGTTAGTTGAGTACCCACATCACAAACGTGATTCTCAGAATGCTTCTGTCTAGTTTCTATAGGTAGATATTTCCTTTTTCAGCATAGGCCTGAAAGCGCTCCAAATGCCCGCTTCCAGACACTATAAAAAGAGGGTTTCAAACCTACTCTATGAAAGGGAATGTTCAACTCTGAGAGCTGGATGCAAACATCACAAAGAAGTTTCTGAGAATGCTGCTGTCTACTTTTTATATATAATCCCGTTTCCAACGAAATCCTCAAATCTATCCAAATATCCGCTTGCAGATTCCAAAAGAAGAGTGTCTCAAAACTGCTCTATCAATAGAAATGTTCAGCACAGTTAGTTGAGTAGATACAGCATAAACATGTTTCTGAGATTACTTCTATCTCGCATTCATGGGAAGATATTTCCTTTTTCCAGATAGGCTACAAAGCCCTCCAAATGTCCACTTCCAGATACTACAAAAAGAGTGCTGCACAACTGCTCTATATGAGGGGATGTTCAATTCTGTGACTTGAATGCAGACACCACAAAGAAGTTTCTGAGAATGCTGCTGTCTAATTTTTACATGGAAGCCCGTTTCCAACGAAATCCTCAAAGCTATCCAAATATCCGCATGCAGAATCTTCAAAAAGAGTGTTCCAGAAGTACTGCATGAAACGAAAGGTTCAAGTCCGTTTGTTGAGGACACACATCACAAATAAGTTTCTCAGAATGCTTCTGTCTTGTTTTCATTGGAAGATATTTCCTTTTTCACCATAGTTCAGAAAGCGCTCCAAATGTCCACTTCCAGATACTCCAAAAAGAGTGTTTCCAACCTGCTCTATGAATGGGAATGTTCCACTCTGTGACTTGAATGGAAATATGGCAAAGTATTTTCTGAGTATGCTGCTGTGTACGTTTTATATTGCATCCCGTTTCCAACGAAATCCTCAAAGCGATCCAAATATCCACTTGCAGATTCCAAAAAAAGAGTGTTTCAAACTGCTCTGTCAGTACAAAGGTTCAACACTGTTAGTTGATTAGATGCATCATAAACAAGTTCCTGAGATAGCTTCTATGTCGTTTTTATGGGAAGATATTTCCTTTTTCACCATAGGCCTGAAAGCGCTCCAAATGTCCACTTCCAGATACTACAATAAGAGTGTTTCCAACCTGCTCTATGAAACGGAAGGTTCAACTCTGTGACTTGATTGCAAACATCACGAAGGTGTTTCTGAGAATGCTTCTGTCTAGATTTTCTTTGAAGACATTACCGTTTCCAACGAAATCCTCACAGCTATCCAAATATCCACTTGCAGATTCTACAAAAAGTGTGGTTCAAAACTGCTGTATCAAAAGAATGGATCAACACTGTTAGTTGAGTACCCACATCACAAACGTGATTCTCAGAATGCTTCTGTCTAGTTTCTGTAGGTAGATATTTCCTATTTTAAGCATAGGCCTGAAAGCGCTCCAAATGCCCGCTTCCAGACACTATAAAAAGAGGGTTTCAAACCTACTCTATGAAAGGGAATGCTCAACTCTGAGAGCTGGATGCAAACATCACAAAGAAGTTTCTGAGAATGCTGCTGTCTACTTTTTATATATAATCCCGTTTCCAACGAAATCCTCAAATCTATCCAAATATCCACTTGCAGATTCCAAAAGAAGAGTGTCTCAAAACTGCTCTATCAATAGAAATGTTCAGCACAGTTAGTTGAGTAGATACAGCATAAAGATGTTTCTGAGATTACTTCTATCTCGCATTCATGGGAAGATATTTCCTTTTTCCAGATAGGCTACAAAGCCCTCCAAATGTCCACTTCCAGATACTACAAAAAGAGTGTTTCCAACCTGCTCTATGAAACGGAAGGTTCAACTCTGTGACTTGATTGCAAACATCACGAAGTTGTTTCTGAGAATGCTTCTGTCTAGATTTTCTTTGAAGACATTACCGTTTCCAACGAAATCCTCAAAGCTAGCCAAATATCCACCTGCAGATTCTGCAAAAAGAGTGTTTCAAAAGTGCTCTGTCCAAACCAAGGTTCAATTCTGACAGTTGAGTGCACACATCACAAACGTGATTCTGCGAATGCTTCTGTCTAGTTTTTGTCGGAAGATATTTCCTTTTTCAGCATAGGCCCCAAGGAGCTCAAAATGTCCACTGCCAGATAGTACGAGAAGATTGTTTCAAACCTGCTCTGTGAAAGGGAATGTTCAACTCTGTGACTTGAATGTAAACATCCCTAAGATGTTTCTTAGAATGCTTCTGGCTAGATTTGATTTGAAGATATTCCCGTTTCCAACGAAATCCTCAAAGCTTTCCAAATATCCACTTCCAGATTCTATAAAAAGAATGTTTCAGAACAGTTCTGTCAAAAGAAAGGTTCAACTCTGTTAGTGGAGAACACACATCACAATCAAGGTTCTGAGAATGCTTCTGTCTAAATTTTCTATGAAGACATTCCCGTTTCCAACGAAATCCTCACAGCTATCCAAATATCCACTTGCAGATTCTACAAAAAGTGTGGTTCAAAACTGCTGTATCAAAAGAATGGATCAACACTGTTAGTTGAGTACCCACATCACAAACGTGATTCTCAGAATGCTTCTGTCTAGTTTCTATAGGTAGATATTTCCTTTTTCAGCATAGGCCTGAAAGCGCTCCAAATGCCCGCTTCCAGACACTATAAAAAGAGGGTTTCAAACCTACTCTATGAAAGGGAATGTTCAACTCTGAGAGCTGGATGCAAACATCACAAAGAAGTTTCTGAGAATGCTGCTGTCTACTTTTTATATATAATCCCGTTTCCAACGAAATCCTCAAATCTATCCAAATATCCACTTGCAGATTCCAAAAGAAGAGTGTCTCAAAACTGCTCTATCAATAGAAATGTTCAGCACAGTTAGTTGAGTAGATACAGCATAAACATGTTTCTGAGATTACTTCTATCTCGCATTCATGGGAAGATATTTCCTTTTTCCAGATAGGCTACAAAGCCCTCCAAATGTCCACTTCCAGATACTACAAAAAGAGTGTTTCCAACCTGCTCTATGAAACGGAAGGTTCAACTCTGTGACTTGATTGCAAACATCACGAAGGTGTTTCTGAGAATGCTTCTGTCTAGATTTTCTTTGAAGACATTACCGTTTCCAACGAAATCCTCAAAGCTAGCCAAATATCCACCTGCAGATTCTACAAAAAGAGTGTTTCAAAAGTGCTCTGTCCAAACCAAGGTTCAATTCTGACAGTTGAGTGCACACATCACAAACGTGATTCTGCGAATGCTTCTGTCTAGTTTTTGTCGGAAGATATTTCCTTTTTCAGCATAGGCCCCAAGGAGCTCAAAATGTCCACTGCCAGATAGTACGAGAAGATTGTTTCAAACCTGCTGCTGTGAAAGGGAATGTTCAACTCTGTGACTTGAATGTAAACATCCCTAAGATGTTTCTTAGAATGCTTCTGGCTAGATTTGATTTGAAGATATTCCCGTTTCCAACGAAATCCTCAAAGCTTTCCAAATATCCACTTCCAGATTCTATAAAAAGAATGTTTCAGAACAGTTCTGTCAAAAGAAAGGTTCAACTCTGTTAGTGGAGAACACACATCACAATCAAGGTTCTGAGAATGCTTCTGTCTAAATTTTCTATGAAGACATTCCCGTTTCCAACGAAATCCTCACAGCTATCCAAATATCCACTTGCAGATTCTACAAAAAGTGTGGTTCAAAACTGCTGTATCAAAAGAATGGATCAACACTGTTAGTTGAGTACCCACATCACAAACGTGATTCTCAGAATGCTTCTGTCTAGTTTCTATAGGTAGATATTTCCTTTTTCAGCATAGGCCTGAAAGCGCTCCAAATGCCCGCTTCCAGACACTATAAAAAGAGGGTTTCAAACCTACTCTATGAAAGGGAATGTTCAACTCTGAGAGCTGGATGCAAACATCACAAAGAAGTTTCTGAGAATGCTGCTGTCTACTTTTTATATATAATCCCGTTTCCAACGAAATCCTCAAATCTATCCAAATATCCACTTGCAGATTCCAAAAGAAGAGTGTCTCAAAACTGCTCTATCAATAGAAATGTTCAGCACAGTTAGTTGAGTAGATACAGCATAAACATGTTTCTGAGATTACTTCTATCTCGCATTCATGGGAAGATATTTCCTTTTTCCAGATAGGCTACAAAGCCCTCCAAATGTCCACTTCCAGATACTACAAAAAGAGTGTTTCCAACCTGCTCTATGAAACGGAAGGTTCAACTCTGTGACTTGATTGCAAACATCACGAAGGTGTTTCTGAGAATGCTTCTGTCTAGATTTTCTTTGAAGACATTACCGTTTCCAACGAAATCCTCAAAGCTAGCCAAATATCCACCTGCAGATTCTACAAAAAGAGTGTTTCAAAATTGCTCTGTCCAAACCAAGGTTCAATTCTGACAGTTGAGTGCACACATCACAAACGTGATTCTGCGAATGCTTCTGTCTAGTTTTTGTCGGAAGATATTTCCTTTTTCAGCATAGGCCCCAAGGAGCTCAAAATGTCCACTGCCAGATAGTACGAGAAGATTGTTTCAAACCTGCTCTGTGAAAGGGAATGTTCAACTCTGTGACTTGAATGTAAACATCCCTAAGATGTTTCTTAGAATGCTTCTGGCTAGATTTTATTTGAAGATATTCCCGTTTCCAACGAAATCCTCAAAGCTTTCCAAATATCCACTTCCAGATTCTATAAAAAGAATGTTTCAGAACAGTTCTGTCAAAAGAAAGGTTCAACTCTGTTAGTGGAGAACACACATCACAATCAAGGTTCTGAGAATGCTTCCGTCTAAATTTTCTATGAAGACATTCCCGTTTCCAACGAAATCCTCACAGCTATCCAAATATCCACTTGCAGATTCTACAAAAAGTGTGGTTCAAAACTGCTGTATCAAAAGAATGGATCAACACTGTTAGTTGAGTACCCACATCACAAACGTGATTCTCAGAATGCTTCTGTCTAGTTTCTATAGGTAGATATTTCCTTTTTCAGCATAGGCCTGAAAGCGCTCCAAATGCCCGCTTCCAGACACTATAAAAAGAGGGTTTCAAACCTACTCTATGAAAGGGAATGTTCAACTCTGAGAGCTGGATGCAAACATCACAAAGAAGTTTCTGAGAATGCTGCTGTCTACTTTTTATATATAATCCCGTTTCCAACGAAATCCTCAAATCTATCCAAATATCCACTTGCAGATTCCAAAAGAAGAGTGTCTCAAAACTGCTCTATCAATAGAAATGTTCAGCACAGTTAGTTGAGTAGATACAGCATAAACATCTTTCTGAGATTACTTCTATCTCGCATTCATGGGAAGATATTTCCTTTTTCCAGATAGGCTACAAAGCCCTCCAAATGTCCACTTCCAGATACTACAAATAGAGTGCTGCACAACTGCTCTATGTGAGGGGATGTTCAATTCTGTGACTTGAATGCAGACACCACAAAGAAGTTTCTGAGAATGCTGCTGTCTAATTTTTACATGTAAGCCCGTTTCCAACGAAATCCTCAAAGCTATCCAAATATCCGCATGCAGAATCTTCAAAAAGAGTGTTCCAGAAGTACTGCATGAAACGAAAGGTTCAAGTCCGTTTGTTGAGGACACACATCACAAATAAGTTTCTCAGAATGCTTCTGTCTTGTTTTCATTGGAAGATATTTCCTTTTTCACCATAGTTCAGAAAGCGCTCCAAATGTCCACTTCCAGATACTCCAAAAAGAGTGTTTCAAACCTGCTCTATGAATGGGAATGTTCCACTCTGTGACTTGAATGGAAATATGGCAAAGTATTTTCTGAGTATGCTGCTGTGTACGTTTTATATTGCATCCCGTTTCCAACGAAATCCTCAAAGCGATCCAAATATCCACTTGCAGATTCCAAAAAAAGAGTGTTTCAAACTGCTCTGTCAGTACAAAGGTTCAACACTGTTAGTTGATTAGATGCATCATAAACAAGTTCCTGAGATAGCTTCTATGTCGTTTTTATGGGAAGATATTTCCTTTTTCACCATAGGCCTGAAAGCGCTCCAAATGTCCACTTCCAGATACTACAAAAAGAGTGTTTCCAACCTGCTCTATGAAACGGAAGGTTCAACTCTGTGACTTGATTGCAAACATCACGAAGGTGTTTCTGAGAATGCTTCTGTCTAGATTTTCTTTGAAGACATTCCCGTTTCCAACGAAATCCTCACAGCTATCCAAATATCCTCTTGCAGATTCTACAAAAAGTGTGGTTCAAAACTGCTGTATCAAAAGAATGGATCAACACTGTTAGTTGAGTACCCACATCACAAACGTGATTCTCAGAATGCTTCTGTCTAGTTTCTGTAGGTAGATATTTCCTATTTTAAGCATAGGCCTGAAAGCGCTCCAAATGCCCGCTTCCAGACACTATAAAAAGAGGGTTTCAAACCTACTCTATGAAAGGGAATGTTCAACTCTGAGAGCTGGATGCAAACATCACAAAGAAGTTTCTGAGAATGCTGCTGTCTACTTTTTATATATAATCCCGTTTCCAACGAAATCCTCAAATCTATCCAAATATCCACTTGCAGATTCCAAAAGAAGAGTGTCTCAAAACTGCTCTATCAATAGAAATGTTCAGCACAGTTAGTTGAGTAGATACAGCATAAACATGTTTCTGAGATTACTTCTATCTCGCATTCATGGGAAGATATTTCCTTTTTCCAGATAGGCTACAAAGCCCTCCAAATGTCCACTTCCAGATACTACAAATAGAGTGCTGCACAACTGCTCTATGTGAGGGGATGTTCAATTCTGTGACTTGAATGCAGACACCACAAAGAAGTTTCTGAGAATGCTGCTGTCTAATTTTTACATGTAAGCCCGTTTCCAACGAAATCCTCAAAGCTATCCAAATATCCGCATGCAGAATCTTCAAAAAGAGTGTTCCAGAAGTACTGCATGAAACGAAAGGTTCAAGTCCGTTTGTTGAGGACACACATCACAAATAAGTTTCTCAGAATGCTTCTGTCTTGTTTTCATTGGAAGATATTTCCTTTTTCACCATAGTTCAGAAAGCGCTCCAAATGTCCACTTCCAGATACTCCAAAAAGAGTGTTTCCAACCTGCTCTATGAATGGGAATGTTCCACTCTGTGACTTGAATGGAAATATGGCAAAGTATTTTCTGAGTATGCTGCTGTGTACGTTTTATATTGCATCCCGTTTCCAACGAAATCCTCAAAGCGATCCAAATATCCACTTGCAGATTCCAAAAAAAGAGTGTTTCAAACTGCTCTGTCAGTACAAAGGTTCAACACTGTTAGTTGATTAGATGCATCATAAACAAGTTCCTGAGATAGCTTCTATGTCGTTTTTATGGGAAGATATTTCCTTTTTCACCATAGGCCTGAAAGCGCTCCAAATGTCCACTTCCAGATACTACAATAAGAGTGTTTCCAACCTGCTCTATGAAACGGAAGGTTCAACTCTGTGACTTGATTGCAAACATCACGAAGGTGTTTCTGAAAATGCTTCTGTCTAGATTTTCTTTGAAGACATGCCCGTTTCCAACGAAATCCTCACAGCTATCCAAATATCCTCTTGCAGATTCTACAAAAAGTGTGGTTCAAAACTGCTGTATCAAAAGAATGGATCAACACTGTTAGTTGAGTACCCACATCACAAACGTGATTCTCAGAATGCTTCTGTCTAGTTTCTGTAGGTAGATATTTCCTATTTTAAGCATAGGCCTGAAAGCGCTCCAAATGCCCGCTTCCAGACACTATAAAAAGAGGGTTTCAAACCTACTCTATGAAAGGGAATGTTCAACTCTGAGAGCTGGATGCAAACATCACAAAGAAGTTTCTGAGAATGCTGCTGTCTACTTTTTATATATAATCCCGTTTCCAACGAAATCCTCAAATCTATCCCAAAATATCCACTTGCAGATTCCAAAAGAAGAGTGTCTCAAAACTGCTCTATCAATAGAAATGTTCAGCACAGTTAGTTGAGTAGATACAGCATAAACATGTTTCTGAGATTACTTCTATCTCGCATTCATGGGAAGATATTTCCTTTTTCCAGATAGGCTACAAAGCCCTCCAAATGTCCACTTCCAGATACTACAAATAGAGTGCTGCACAACTGCTCTATGTGAGGGGAAGTTCAATTCTGTGACTTGAATGCAGACACCACAAAGAAGTTTCTGAGAATGCTGCTGTCTAATTTTTACATGTAAGCCCGTTTCCAACGAAATCCTCAAAGCTATCCAAATATCCGCATGCAGAATCTTCAAAAAGAGTGTTCCAGAAGTACTGCATGAAACGAAAGGTTCAAGTCCGTTTGTTGAGGACACACATCACAAATAAGTTTCTCAGAATGCTTCTGTCTTGTTTTCATTGGAAGATATTTCCTTTTTCACCATAGTTCAGAAAGCGCTCCAAATGTCCACTTCCAGATACTCCAAAAAGAGTGTTTCCAACCTGCTCTATGAATGGGAATGTTCCACTCTGTGACTTGAATGGAAACATGGCAAAGTATTTTCTGAGTATGCTGCTGTGTACGTTTTATATTGCATCCCGTTTCCAACGAAATCCTCAAAGTGATCCAAATATCCACTTGCAGATTCCAAAAAAAGAGTGTTTCAAACTGCTCTGTCAGTAGAAAGGTTCAACACTGTTAGTTGATTAGATGCATCATAAACAAGTTCCTGAGATAGCTTCTATGTCGTTTTTATGGGAAGATATTTCCTTTTTCACCATAGGCCTGAAAGCGCTCCAAATGTCCACTTCCAGATACTACAATAAGAGTGTTTCCAACCTGCTCTATGAAACGGAAGGTTCAACTCTGTGACTTGATTGCAAACATCATGAAGGTGTTTCTGAGAATGCTTCTGTCTAGATTTTCTTTGAAGACATTCCCGTTTCCAACGAAATCCTCACAGCTATCCAAATATCCTCTTGCAGATTCTACAAAAAGTGTGGTTCAAAACTGCTGTATCAAAAGAATGGATCAACACTGTTAGTTGAGTACCCACATCACAAACGTGATTCTCAGAATGCTTCTGTCTAGTTTCTGTAGGTAGATATTTCCTATTTTAAGCATAGGCCTGAAAGCGCTCCAAATGCCCGCTTCCAGACACTATAAAAAGAGGGTTTCAAACCTACTCTATGAAAGGGAATGTTCAACTCTGAGAGCTGGATGCAAACATCACAAAGAAGTTTCTGAGAATGCTGCTGTCTACTTTTGATATATAATCCCGTTTCCAACGAAATCCTCAAATCTATCCAAATATCCACTTGCAGATTCCAAAAGAAGAGTGTCTCAAAACTGCTCTATCAATAGAAATGTTCAGCACAGTTAGTTGAGTAGATACAGCATAAACATGTTTCTGAGATTACTTCTATCTCGCATTCATGGGAAGATATTTCCTTTTTCCAGATAGGCTACAAAGCCCTCCAAATGTCCACTTCCAGATACTACAAATAGAGTGCTGCACAACTGCTCTATGTGAGGGGAAGTTCAATTCTGTGACTTGAATGCAGACACCACAAAGAAGTTTCTGAGAATGCTGCTGTCTAATTTTTACATGTAAGCCCGTTTCCAACGAAATCCTCAAAGCTATCGAAATATCCGCATGCAGAATCTTCAAAAAGAGTGTTCCAGAAGTACTGCATGAAACGAAAGGTTCAAGTCCGTTTGTTGAGGACACACATCACAAATAAGTTTCTCAGAATGCTTCTGTCTTGTTTTCATTGGAAGATATTTCCTTTTTCACCATAGTTCAGAAAGCGCTCCAAATGTCCACTTCCAGATACTCCAAAAAGAGTGTTTCCAACCTGCTCTATGAATGGGAATGTTCCACTCTGTGACTTGAATGGAAATATGGCAAAGTATTTTCTGAGTATGCTGCTGTGTACGTTTTATATTGCATCCCGTTTCCAACGAAATCCTCAAAGCGATCCAAATATCCACTTGCAGATTCCAAAAAAAGAGTGTTTCAAAGTGCTCTGTCAGTACAAAGGTTCAACACTGTTAGTTGATTAGATGCATCATAAACAAGTTCCTGAGATAGCTTCTATGTCGTTTTTATGGGAAGATATTTCCTTTTTCACCATAGGCCTGAAAGCGCTCCAAATGTCCACTTCCAGATACTACAATAAGAGTGTTTCCAACCTGCTCTATGAAACGGAAGGTTCAACTCTGTGACTTGATTGCAAACATCACGAAGGTGTTTCTGAGAATGCTTCTGTCTAGATTTTCTTTGAAGACATTCCCGTTTCCAACGAAATCCTCACAGCTATCCAAATATCCTCTTGCAGATTCTACAAAAAGTGTGGTTCAAAACTGCTGTATCAAAAGAATGGATCAACACTGTTAGTTGAGTACCCACATCACAAACGTGATTCTCAGAATGCTTCTGTCTAGTTTCTGTAGGTAGATATTTCCTATTTTAAGCATAGGCCTGAATGCGCTCCAAATGCCCGCTTCCAGACACTATAAAAAGAGGGTTTCAAACCTACTCTATGAAAGGGAATGTTCAACTCTGAGAGCTGGATGCAAACATCACAAAGAAGTTTCTGAGAATGCTGCTGTCTACTTTTTATATATAATCCCGTTTCCAACGAAATCCTCAAATCTATCCAAATATCCACTTGCAGATTCCAAAAGAAGAGTGTCTCAAAACTGCTCTATCAATAGAAATGTTCAGCACAGTTAGTTGAGTAGATACAGCATAAACATGTTTCTGAGATTACTTCTATCTCGCATTCATGGGAAGATATTTCCTTTTTCCAGATAGGCTACAAAGCCCTCCAAATGTCCACTTCCAGATACTACAAATAGAGTGCTGCACAACTGCTCTATGTGAGGGGAAGTTCAATTCTGTGACTTGAATGCAGACACCACAAAGAAGTTTCTGAGAATGCTGCTGTCTAATTTTTACATGTAAGCCCGTTTCCAACGAAATCCTCAAAGCTATCCAAATATCCGCATGCAGAATCTTCAAAAAGAGTGTTCCAGAAGTACTGCATGAAACGAAAGGTTCAAGTCCGTTTGTTGAGGACACACATCACAAATAAGTTTCTCAGAATGCTTCTGTCTTGTTTTCATTGGAAGATATTTCCTTTTTCACCATAGTTCAGAAAGCGCTCCAAATGTCCACTTCCAGATACTCCAAAAAGAGTGTTTCCAACCTGCTCTATGAATGGGAATGTTCCACTCTCTGACTTGAATGGAAATATGGCAAAGTATTTTCTGAGTATGCTGCTGTGTACGTTTTATATTGCATCCCGTTTCCAACGAAATCCTCAAAGCGATCCAAATATCCACTTGCAGATTCCAAAAAAAGAGTGTTTCAAACTGCTCTGTCAGTACAAAGGTTCAACACTGTTAGTTGATTAGATGCATCATAAACAAGTTCCTGAGATAGCTTCTATGTCGTTTTTATGGGAAGATATTTCCTTTTTCACCATAGGCCTGAAAGCGCTCCAAATGTCCACTTCCAGATACTACAATAAGAGTGTTTCCAACCTGCTCTATGAAACGGAAGGTTCAACTCTGTGACTTGATTGCAAACATCACGAAGGTGTTTCTGAGAATGCTTCTGTCTAGATTTTCTTTGAAGACATTACCGTTTCCAACGAAATCCTCAAAGCTAGCCAAATATCCACCTGCAGATTCTACAAAAAGAGTGTTTCAAAAGTGCTCTGTCTAAACCAAGGTTCAATTCTGACAGTTGAGTGCACACATCACAAACGTGATTCTGCGAATGCTTCTGTCTAGTTTTTGTCGGAAGATATTTCCTTTTTCAGCATAGGCCCCAAGGAGCTCAAAATGTCCACTGCCAGATAGTACGAGAAGATTGTTTCAAACCTGCTCTGTGAAAGGGAATGTTGAACTCTGTGACTTGAATGTAAACATCCCTAAGATGTTTCTTAGAATGCTTCTGGCTAGATTTTATTTGAAGATATTCCCGTTTCCAATGAAATCCTCAAAGCTTTCAAAATATCCACTTCCAGATTCTATAAAAAGAATGTTTCAGAACAGTTCTGTCAAAAGAAAGGTTCAACTCTGTTAGTGGAGAACACACATCACAATCAAGGTTCTGAGAATGCTTCTGTCTAAATTTTCTATGAAGACATTCCCGTTTCCAACGAAATCCTCACAGCTATCCAAATATCCACTTGCAGATTCTACAAAAAGTGTGGTTCAAAACTGCTGTATCAAAAGAATGGATCAACACTGCTAGTTGAGTACCCACATCACAAACGTGATTCTCAGAATGCTTCTGTCTAGTTTCTATAGGTAGATATTTCCTTTTTCAGCATAGGCCTGAAAGCGCTCCAAATGCCCGCTTCCAGACACTATAAAAAGAGGGTTTCAAACCTACTCTATGAAAGGGAATGTTCAACTCTGAGAGCTGGATGCAAACATCACAAAGAAGTTTCTGAGAATGCTGCAGTCTACTTTTTATATATAATCCCGTTTCCAACGAAATCCTCAAATCTATCCAAATATCCACTTGCAGATTCCAAAAGAAGAGTGTCTCAAAACTGCTCTATCAATAGAAATGTTCAGCACAGTTAGTTGAGTAGATACAGCATAAACATGTTTCTGAGATTACTTCTATCTCGCATTCATGGGAAGATATTTCCTTTTTCCAGATAGGCTACAAAGCCCTCCAAATGTCCACTTCGAGATACTACAAATAGAGTGCTGTACAACTGCTCTATGTGAGGGGATGTTCAATTCTGTGACTTGAATGCAGACACCACAAAGAAGTTTCTGAGAATGCTCCTGTCTAATTTTTATATGTAAGCCCGTTTCCAACGAAATCCTCAAAGCTAACCAAATATCCGCATGCAGAATCTTCAAAAAGAGTGTTCCAGAAGTACTGCATGAAACGAAAGCTTCGAGTCCGTTAGTTGAGGACACGCATCACAAATAAGTTTCTCAGAATGCTTCTGTCTTGTTTTCATTGGAAGATATTTCCTTTTTCACCATAGTTCAGAAAGCGCTCCAAATGTCCACTTCCAGATACTCCAAAAAGAGTGTTTCCAACCTGCTCTATGAATGGGAATGTTCCACTCTGTGACTTGAATGGAAATATGGCAAAGTATTTTCTGAGTATGCTGCTGTGTACGTTTTATATTGCATCCCGTTTCCAACGAAATCCTCAAAGCGATCCAAATATCCACTTGCAGATTCCAAAAAAAGAGTGTTTCAAACTGCTCTGTCAGTACAAAGGTTCAACACTGTTAGTTGATTAGATGCATCATAAACAAGTTCCTGAGATAGCTTCTATGTCGTTTTTATGGGAAGATATTTCCTTTTTCACCATAGGCCTGAAAGCGCTCCAAATGTCCACTTCCAGATACTACAAAAAGAGTGTTTCCAACCTGCTCTATGAAACGGAAGGTTCAACTCTGTGACTTGATTGCAAACATCACGAAGGTGTTTCTGAGAATGCTTCTGTCTAGATTTTCTTTGAAGACATTACCGTTTCCAACGAAATCCTCAAAGCTAGCCAAATATCCACCTGCAGATTCTACAAAAAGAGTGTTTCAAAAGTGCTCTGTCCAAACCAAGGTTCAATTCTGAGAGTTGAGTGCACACATCACAAACGTGATTCTGCGAATGCTTCTGTCTAGTTTTTGTCGGAAGATATTTCCTTTTTCAGCATAGGCCCCAAGGAGCTCAAAATGTCCACTGCCAGATAGTACGAGAAGATTGTTTCAAACGTGCTCTGTGAAAGGGAATGTTCAACTCTGTGACTTGAATGTAAACATCCCTAAGATGTTTCTTAGAATGCTTCTGGCTAGATTTGATTTGAAGATATTCCCGTTTCCAACGAAATCCTCAAAGCTTTCCAAATATCCACTTCCAGATTCTATAAAAAGAATGTTTCAGAACAGTTCTGTCAAAAGAAAGGTTCAACTCTGTTAGTGGAGAACACACATCACAATCAAGGTTCTGAGAATGCTTCTGTCTAAATTTTCTATGAAGACATTCCCGTTTCCAACGAAATCCTCACAGCTATCCAAATATCCACTTGCAGATTCTACAAAAAGTGTGGTTCAAAACTGCTGTATCAAAAGAATGGATCAACACTGTTAGTTGAGTACCCACATCACAAACGTGATTCTCAGAATGCTTCTGTCTAGTTTCTATAGGTAGATATTTCCTTTTTCAGCATAGGCCTGAAAGCGCTCCAAATGCCCGCTTCCAGACACTATAAAAAGAGGGTTTCAAACCTACTCTATGAAAGGGAATGTTCAACTCTGAGAGCTGGATGCAAACATCACAAAGAAGTTTCTGAGAATGCTGCTGTCTACTTTTGATATATAATCCCGTTTCCAACGAAATCCTCAAATCTATCCAAATATCCACTTGCAGATTCCAAAAGAAGAGTGTCTCAAAACTGCTCTATCAATAGAAATGTTCAGCAAAGTTAGTTGAGTAGATACAGCATAAACATGTTTCTGAGATTACTTCTATCTCGCATTCATGGGAAGATATTTCCTTTTTCCAGATAGGCTACAAAGCCCTCCGAATGTCCACTTCCAGATACTACAAATAGAGTGCTGCACAACTGCTCTATGTGAGGGGAAGTTCAATTCTGTGACTTGAATGCAGACACCACAAAGAAGTTTCTGAGAATGCTGCTGTCTAATTTTTACATGTAAGCCCGTTTCCAACGAAATCCTCAAAGCAATCCAAATATCCGCATGCAGAATCTTCAAAAAGAGTGTTCCAGAAGTACTGCATGAAACGAAAGGTTCAAGTCCGTTTGTTGAGGACACACATCACAAATAAGTTTCTCAGAATGCTTCTGTCTTGTTTTCATTGGAAGATATTTCCTTTTTCACCATAGTTCAGAAAGCGCTCCAAATGTCCACTTCCAGATACTCCAAAAAGAGTGTTTCAAACCTGCTCCATGAATGGGAATGTTCCACTCTGTGACTTGAATGGAAATATGGCAAAGCATTTTCTGAGTATGCTGCTGTGTACGTTTTATATTGCATCCCGTTTCCAACGAAATCCTCAAAGCGATCCAAATATCCACTTGCAGATTCCAAAAAAAGAGTGTTTCAAACTGCTCTGTCAGTACAAAGGTTCAACACTGTTAGTTGATTAGATGCATCACAAACAAGTTCCTGAGATAGCTTCTATGTCGTTTTTATGGGAAGATATTTCCTTTTTCACCATAGGCCTGAAAGCGCTCCAAATGTCCACTTCCAGATACTACAATAAGAGTGTTTCCAACCTGCTCTATGAAACGGAAGGTTCAACTCTGTGACTTGATTGCAAACATCACGAAGGTGTTTCTGAGAATGCTTCTGTCTAGATTTTCTTTGAAGACATTACCGTTTCCAACGAAATCCTCACAGCTATCCAAATATCCTCTTGCAGATTCTACAAAAAGTGTGGTTCAAAACTGCTGTATCAAAAGAATGGATCAACACTGTTAGTTGAGTACCCACATCACAAACGTGATTCTCAGAATGCTTCTGTCTAGTTTCTGTAGGTAGATATTTCCTATTTTAAGCATAGGCCTGAAAGCGCTCCAAATGCCCGCTTCCAGACACTATAAAAAGAGGGTTTCAAACCTACTCTATGAAAGGGAATGTTCAACTCTGAGAGCTGGATGCAAACATCACAAAGAAGTTTCTGAGAATGCTGCTGTCTACTTTTTATATATAATCCCGTTTCCAACGAAATCCTCAAATCTCTCCAAATATCCACTTGCAGATTCCAAAAGAAGAGTGTCTCAAAACTGCTCTATCAATAGAAATGTTCAGCACAGTTAGTTGAGTAGATACAGCATAAACATGTTTCTGAGATTACTTCTATCTCGCATTCATGGGAAGATATTTCCTTTTTCCACATAGGCTACAAAGCCCTCCAAATGTCCACTTCCAGATACTACAAAAAGAGTGTTTCCAACCTGCTCTATGAAACGGAAGGTTCAACTCTGTGACTTGATTGCAAACATCACGAAGGTGTTTCTGAGAATGCTTCTGTCTAGATTTTCTTTGAAGACATTACCGTTTCCAACGAAATCCTCAAAGCTAGCCAAATATCCACCTGCAGATTCTACAAAAAGAGTGTTTCAAAAGTGCTCTGTCCAAACCAAGGTTCAATTCTGACAGTTGAGTGCACACATCACAAACGTGATTCTGCGAATGCTTTCTGTCTAGTTTTTGTCAGAAGATATTTCCTTTTTCAGCATAGGCCCCAAGGCAGCTCAAAATGTCCACTGCCAGATAGTACGAGAAGATTGTTTCAAACCTGCTCTGTGAAAGGGAATGTTCAACTCTGTGACTTGAATGTAAACATCCCTAAGATGTTTCTTAGAATGCTTCTGGCTAGATTTTATTTGAAGATATTCCCGTTTCCAACGAAATCCTCAAAGCTTTCCAAATATCCACTTCCAGATTCTATAAAAAGAATGTTTCAGAACAGTTCTGTCAAAAGAAAGGTTCAACTCTGTTAGTGGAGAACACACATCACAATCAAGGTTCTGAGAATGCTTCTGTCTAAATTTTCTATGAAGACATTCCCGTTTCCAACGAAATCCTCACAGCTATCCAAATATCCACTTGCAGATTCTACAAAAAGTGTGGTTCAAAACTGCTGTATCAAAAGAATGGATCAACACTGTTAGTTGAGTACCCACATCACAAACGTGATTCTCAGAATGCTTCTGTCTAGTTTCTATAGGTAGATATTTCCTTTTTCAGCATAGGCCTGAAAGCGCTCCAAATGCCCGCTTCCAGACACTATAAAAAGAGGGTTTCAAACCTACTCTATGAAAGGGAATGTTCAACTCTGAGAGCTGGATGCAAACATCACAAAGAAGTTTCTGAGAATGCTGCTGTCTACTTTTTATATATAATCCCGTTTCCAACGAAATCCTCAAATCTATCCAAATATCCACTTGCAGATTCCAAAAGAAGAGGGTCTCAAAACTGCTCTATCAATAGAAATGTTCAGCACAGTTAGTTGAGTAGATACAGCATAAACATGTTTCTGAGATTACTTCTATCTCGCATTCATGGGAAGATATTTCCTTTTTCCAGATAGGCTACAAAGCCCTCCAAATGTCCACTTCCAGATACTACAAATAGAGTGCTGCACAACTGCTCTATGTGAGGGGAAGTTCAATTCTGTGACTTGAATGCAGACACCACAAAGAAGTTTCTGAGAATGCTGCTGTCTAATTTTTACATGTAAGCCCGTTTCCAACGAAATCCTCAAAGCTATCCAAATATCCGCATGCAGAATCTTCAAAAAGAGTGCTCAAGAAGTACTGCATGAAACGAAAGGTTCAAGTCCGTTTGTTGAGGACACACATCACAAATAAGTTTCTCAGAATGCTTCTGTCTTGTTTTCATTGGAAGATATTTCCTTTTTCACCATAGTTCAGAAAGCGCTCCAAATGTCCACTTCCAGATACTCCAAAAAGAGTGTTTCCAACCTGCTCTATGAATGGGAATGTTCCACTCTCTGACTTGAATGGAAATATGGCAAAGTATTTTCTGAGTATGCTGCTGTGTACGTTTTATATTGCATCCCGTTTCCAACGAAATCCTCAAAGCGATCCAAATATCCACTTGCAGATTCCAAAAAAAGAGTGTTTCAAACTGCTCTGTCAGTACAAAGGTTCAACACTGTTAGTTGATTAGATGCATCATAAACAAGTTCCTGAGATAGCTTCTATGTCGTTTTTATGGGAAGATATTTCCTTTTTCACCATAGGCCTGAAAGCGCTCCAAATGTCCACTTCCAGATACTACAATAAGAGTGTTTCCAACCTGCTCTATGAAACGGAAGGTTCAACTCTGTGACTTGATTGCAAACATCACGAAGGTGTTTCTGAGAATGCTTCTGTCTAGATTTTCTTTGAAGACATTCCCGTTTCCAACGAAATCCTCACAGCTATCCAAATATCCTCTTGCAGATTCTACAAAAAGTGTGGTTCAAAACTGCTGTATCAAAAGAATGGATCAACACTGTTAGTTGAGTACCCACATCACAAACGTGATTACTCAGAATGCTTCTGTCTAGTTTCTGTAGGTAGATATTTCCTATTTTAAGCATAGGCCTGAAAGCGCTCCAAATGCCCGCTTCGAGACACTATAAAAAGAGGGTTTGAAACCTACTCTATGAAAGGGAATGTTCAACTCTGAGAGCTGGATGCAAACATCACAAAGAAGTTTCTGAGAATGCTGCTGTCTACTTTTTATATATAATCCCGTTTCCAACGAAATCCTCAAATCTATCCAAATATCCACTTGCAGATTCCAAAAGAAGAGTGTCTCAAAACTGCTCTATCAATAGAAATGTTCAGCACAGTTAGTTGAGTAGATACAGCATAAACATGTTTCTGAGATTACTTCTATCTCGCATTCATGGGAAGATATTTCCTTTTTCCAGATAGGCTACAAAGCCCTCCAAATGTCCACTTCCAGATACTACAAATAGAGTGCTGCACAACTGCTCTATGTGAGGGGAAGTTCAATTCTGTGACTTGAATGCAGACACCACAAAGAAGTTTCTGAGAATGCTGCTGTCTAATTTTTACATGTAAGCCCGTTTCCAACGAAATCCTCAAAGCTATCCAAATATCCGCATGCAGAATCTTCAAAAAGAGTGTTCCAGAAGTACTGCATGAAACGAAAGGTTCAAGTCCGTTTGTTGAGGACACACATCACAAATAAGTTTCTCAGAATGCTTCTGTCTTGTTTTCATTTTAAGATATTTCCTTTTTCACCATAGTTCAGAAAGCGCTCCAAATGTCCACTTCCAGATACTCCAAAAAGAGTGTTTCCAACCTGCTCTATGAATGGGAATGTTCCACTCTGTGACTTGAATGGAAATATGGCAAAGTATTTTCTGAGTATGCTGCTGTGTACGTTTTATATTGCATCCCGTTTCCAACGAAATCCTCAAAGCGATCCAAATATCCACTTGCAGATTCCAAAAAAAGAGTGTTTCAAACTGCTCTGTTAGTACAAAGGTTCAACACTGTTAGTTGATTAGATGCATCATAAACAAGTTCCTGAGATAGCTTCTATGTCGTTTTTATGGGAAGATATTTCCTTTTTCACCATAGGCCTGAAAGCGCTCCAAATGTCCACTTCCAGATACTACAATAAGAGTGTTTCCAACCTGCTCTATGAAACGGAAGGTTCAACTCTGTGACTTGATTGCAAACATCACGAAGGTGTTTCTGAGAATGCTTCTGTCTAGATTTTCTTTGAAGACATTCCCGTTTCCAACGAAATCCTCACAGCTATCCAAATATCCTCTTGCAGATTCTACAAAAAGTGTGGTTCAAAACTGCTGTATCAAAAGAATGGATCAACACTGTTAGTTGAGTACCCACATCACAAACGTGATTCTCAGAATGCTTCTGTCTAGTTTCTGTAGGTAGATATTTCCTATTTTAAGCATAGGCCTGAAAGCGCTCCAAATGCCCGCTTCCAGACACTATAAAAAGAGGGTTTCAAACCTACTCTATGAAAGGGAATGTTCAACTCTGAGAGCTGGATGCAAACATCACAAAGAAGTTTCTGAGAATGCTGCTGTCTACTTTTTATATATAATCCCGTTTCCAACGAAATCCTCAAATCTATCCAAATATCCACTTGCAGATTCCAAAAGAAGAGTGTCTCAAAACTGCTCTATCAATAGAAATGTTCAGCACAGTTAGTTGAGTAGATACAGCATAAACATGTTTCTGAGATTACTTCTATCTCGCATTCATGGGAAGATATTTCCTTTTTCCAGATAGGCTACAAAGCCCTCCAAATGTCCACTTCCAGATACTACAAATAGAGTGCTGCACAACTGCTCTATGTGAGGGGAAGTTCAATTCTGTGACTTGGATGCAGACACCACAAAGAAGTTTCTGAGAATGCTGCTGTCTAATTTTTACATGTAAGCCCGTTTCCAACGAAATCCTCAAAGCTATCCAAATATCCGCATGCAGAATCTTCAAAAAGAGTGTTCCAGAAGTACTGCATGAAACGAAAGGTTCAAGTCCGTTTGTTGAGGACACACATCACAAATAAGTTTCTCAGAATGCTTCTGTCTTGTTTTCATTGGAAGATATTTCCTTTTTCACCATAGTTCAGAAAGCGCTCCAAATGTCCACTTCCAGATACTCCAAAAAGAGTGTTTCAAACCTGCTCTATGAATGGGAATGTTCCACTCTGTGACTTGAATGGAAATATGGCAAAGTATTTTCTGAGTATGCTGCTGTGTACCGTTTTATATTGCATCCCGTTTCCAACGAAATCCTCAAAGCGATCCAAATATCCACTTGCAGATTCCAAAAAAAGAGTGTTTCAAAGTGCTCTGTCAGTACAAAGGTTCAACACTGTTAGTTGATTAGATGCATCATAAACAAGTTCCTGAGATAGCTTCTATGTCGTTTTTATGGGAAGATATTTCCTTTTTCACCATAGGCCTGAAAGCGCTCCAAATGTCCACTTCCAGATACTACAATAAGAGTGTTTCCAACCTGCTCTATGAAACGGAAGGTTCAACTCTGTGACTTGATTGCAAACATCACGAAGGTGTTTCTGAGAATGCTTCTGTCTAGATTTTCTTTGAAGACATTCCCGTTTCCAACGAAATCCTCACAGCTATCCAAATATCCTCTTGCAGATTCTACAAAAAGTGTGGTTCAAAACTGCTGTATCAAAAGAATGGATCAACACTCTTAGTTGAGTACCCACATCACAAACGTGATTCTCAGAATGCTTCTGTCTAGTTTCTGTAGGTAGATATTTCCTATTTTAAGCATAGGCCTGAAAGCGCTCCAAATGCCCGCTTCCATACACTATAAAAAGAGGGTTTCAAACCTACTCTATGAAAGGGAATGTTCAACTCTGAGAGCTGGATGCAAACATCACAAAGAAGTTTCTGAGAATGCTGCTGTCTACTTTTTATATATAATCCCGTTTCCAACGAAATCCTCAAATCTCTCCAAATATCCACTTGCAGATTCCAAAAGAAGAGTGTCTCAAAACTGCTCTATCAATAGAAATGTTCAGCACAGTTAGTTGAGTAGATACAGCATAAACATGTTTGCTGAGATTACTTTCTATCTCGCATTCATGGGAAGATATTTCCTTTTTCCAGATAGGCTACAAAGCCCTCCAAATGTCCACTTCCAGATACTACAAAAAGAGTGTTTCCAACCTGCTCTATGAAACGGAAGGTTCAACTCTGTGACTTGATTGCAAACATCACGAAGGTGTTTCTGAGAATGCTTCTGTCTAGATTTTCTTTGAAGACATTACCGTTTCCAACGAAATCCTCAAAGCTAGCCAAATATCCACCTGCAGATTCTACAAAAAGAGTGTTTCAAAAGTGCTCTGTCCAAACCAAGGTTCAATTCTGACAGTTGAGTGCACACATCACAAACGTGATTCTGCGAATGCTTCTGTCTAGTTTTTGTCGGAAGATATTTCCTTTTTCAGCATAGGCCCCAAGGAGCTCAAAATGTCCACTGCCAGATAGTACGAGAAGATTGTTTCAAACCTGCTCTGTGAAAGGGAATGTTCAACTCTGTGACTTGAATGTAAACATCCCTAAGATGTTTCTTAGAATGCTTCTGGCTAGATTTGATTTGAAGATATTCCCGTTTCCAACGAAATCCTCAAAGCTTTCCAAATATCCACTTCCAGATTCTATAAAAAGAATGTTTCAGAACAGTTCTGTCAAAAGAAAGGTTCAACTCTGTTAGTGGAGAACACACATCACAATCAAGGTTCTGAGAATGCTTCTGTCTAAATTTTCTATGAAGACATTCCCGTTTCCAACGAAATCCTCACAGCTATCCAAATATCCACTTGCAGATTCTACAAAAAGTGTGGTTCAAAACTGCTGTATCAAAAGAATGGATCAACACTGTTAGTTGAGTACCCACATCACAAACGTGATTCTCAGAATGCTTCTGTCTAGTTTCTATAGGTAGATATTTCCTTTTTCAGCATAGGCCTGAAAGCGCTCCAAATGCCCGCTTCCAGACACTATAAAAAGAGGGTTTCAAACCTACTCTATGAAAGGGAATGTTCAACTCTGAGAGCTGGATGCAAACATCACAAAGAAGTTTCTGAGAATGCTGCTGTCTACTTTTTATATATAATCCCGTTTCCAACGAAATCCTCAAATCTATCCAAATATCCACTTGCAGATTCCAAAAGAAGAGTGTCTCAAAACTGCTCTATCAACAGAAATGTTCAGCACAGTTAGTTGAGTAGATACAGCATAAACATGTTTCTGAGATTACTTCTATCTCGCATTCATGGGAAGATATTTCCTTTTTCCAGATAGGCTACAAAGCCCTCCAAATGTCCACTTCCAGATACTACAAAGAGTGTTTCCAACCTGCTCTATGAAACGGAAGGTTCAACTCTGTGACTTGATTGCAAACATCACGAAGGTGTTTCTGAGAATGCTTCTGTCTAGATTTTCTTTGAAGACATTACCGTTTCCAACGAAATCCTCAAAGCTAGCCAAATATCCACCTGCAGATTCTACAAAAAGAGTGTTTCAAAAGTGCTCTGTCCAAACCAAGGTTCAATTCTGACAGTTGAGTGCACACATCACAAACGTGATTCTGCGAATGCTTCTGTCTAGTTTTTGTCGGAAGATATTTCCTTTTTCAGCATAGGCCCCAAGGAGCTCAAAATGTCCACTGCCAGATAGTACGAGAAGATTGTTTCAAACCTGCTCTGTGAAAGGGAATGTTCAACTCTGTGACTTGAATGTAAACATCCCTAAGATGTTTCTTAGAATGCTTCTGGCTAGATTTTATTTGAAGATATTCCCGTTTCCAATGAAATCCTCAAAGCTTTCCAAATATCCACTTCCAGATTCTATAAAAAGAATGTTTCAGAACAGTTCTGTCAAAAGAAAGGTTCAACTCTGTTAGTGGAGAACACACACCACAATCAAGGTTCTGAGAATGCTTCTGTCTAAATTTTCTATGAAGACATTCCCGTTTCCAACGAAATCCTCACAGCTATCCAAATATCCACTTGCAGATTCTACAAAAAGTGTGGTTCAAAACTGCTGTATCAAAAGAATGGATCAACACTGTTAGTTGAGTACCCACATCACAAACGTGATTCCAGAATGCTTCTGTCTAGTTTCTATAGGTAGATATTTCCTTTTTCAGCATAGGCCTGAAAGCGCTCCAAATGTCCGCTTCCAGACACTATAAAAAGAGGGTTTCAAACCTACTCTATGAAAGGGAATGTTCAACTCTGAGAGCTGGATGCAAACATCACAAAGAAGTTTCTGAGAATGCTGCTGTCTACTTTTTATATATAATCCCGTTTCCAACGAAATCCTCAAATCTATCCAAATATCCACTTGCAGATTCCAAAAGAAGAGTGTCTCAAAACTGCTCTATCAATAGAAATGTTCAGCACAGTTAGTTGAGTAGATACAGCATAAACATGTTTCTGAGATTACTTCTATCTCGCATTCATGGGAAGATATTTCCTTTTTCCACATAGGCTACAAAGCCCTCCAAATGTCCACTTCCAGATACTACAAATAGAGTGCTGCACAACTGCTCTATGTGAGGGGATGTTCAATTCTGTGACTTGAATGCAGACACCACAAAGAAGTTTCTGAGAATGCTGCTGTCTAATTTTTACATGTAAGCCCGTTTCCAACGAAATCCTCAAAGCTATCCAAATATCCGCATGCAGAATCTTCAAAAAGAGTGTTCCAGAAGTACTGCATGAAACGAAAGGTTCAAGTCCGTTTGTTGAGGACACACATCACAAATAAGTTTCTCAGAATGCTTCTGTCTTGTTTTCATTGGAAGATATTTCCTTTTTCACCATAGTTCAGAAAGCGCTCCAAATGTCCACTTCCAGATACTCCAAAAAGAGTGTTTCCAACCTGCTCTATGAATGGGAATGTTCCACTCTGTGACTTGAATGGAAATATGGCAAAGTATTTTCTGAGTATGCTGCTGTGTACGTTTTATATTGCATCCCGTTTCCAACGAAATCCTCAAAGCGATCCAAATATCCACTTGCAGATTCCAAAAAAAGAGTGTTTCAAACTGCTCTGTCAGTACAAAGGTTCAACACTGTTAGTTGATTAGATGCCTCATAAACAAGTTCCTGAGATAGCTTCTATGTCGCTTTTATGGGAAGATATTTCCTTTTTCACCATAGGCCTGAAAGCGCTCCAAATGTCCACTTCCAGATACTACAATAAGAGTGTTTCCAACCTGCTCTATGAAACGGAAGGTTCAACTCTGTGACTTGATTGCAAACATCACGAAGGTGTTTCTGAGAATGTTTCTGTCTAGATTTTCTTTGAAGACATTCCCGTTTCCAACGAAATCCTCACAGCTATCCAAATATCCTCTTGCAGATTCTACAAAAAGTGTGGTTCAAAACTGCTGTATCAAAAGAATGGATCAACACTGTTAGTTGAGTACCCACATCACAAACGAGATTCTCAGAATGCTTCTGTCTAGTTTCTGTAGGTAGATATTTCCTATTTTAAGCATAGGTCTGAAAGCGCTCCAAATGCCCGCTTCCAGACACTATAAAAAGAGGGTTTCAAACCTACTCTATGAAAGGGAATGTTCAACTCTGAGAGCTGGATGCAAACATCACAAAGAAGTTTCTGAGAATGCTGCTGTCTACTTTTTATATATAATCCCGTTTCCAACGAAATCCTCAAATCTATCCAAATATCCACTTGCAGATTCCAAAAGAAGAGTGTCTCAAAACTGCTCTATCAATAGAAATGTTCAGCACAGTTAGTTGAGTAGATACAGCATAAACATGTTTCTGAGATTACTTCTATCTCGCATTCATGGGAAGATATTTCCTTTTTCCAGATAGGCTACAAAGCCCTCCAAATGTCCACTTCCAGATACTACAAATAGAGTGCTGCACAACTGCTCTATGTGAGGGGAAGTTCAATTCTGTGACTTGAATGCAGACACCACAAAGAAGTTTCTGAGAATGCTGCTGTCTAATTTTTACATGTAAGCCCGTTTCCAACGAAATCCTCAAAGCTATCCAAATATCCGCATGCAGAATCTTCAAAAAGAGTGTTCCAGAAGTACTGCATGAAACGAAAGGTTCAAGTCCGTTTGTTGAGGACACACATCACAAATAAGTTTCTCAGAATGCTTCTGTCTTGTTTTCATTGGAAGATATTTCCTTTTTCACCATAGTTCAGAAAGCGCTCCAAATGTCCACTTCCAGATACTCCAAAAAGAGTGTTTCCAACCTGCTCTATGAATGGGAATGTTCCACTCTGTGACTTGAATGGAAATATGGCAAAGTATTTTCTGAGTATGCTGCTGTGTACGTTTTATATTGCATCCCGTTTCCAACGAAATCCTCAAAGCGATCCAAATATCCACTTGCAGATTCCAAAAAAAGAGTGTTTCAAAGTGCTCTGTCAGTACAAAGGTTCAACACTGTTAGTTGATTAGATGCATCATAAACAAGTTCCTGAGATAGCTTCTATGTCGTTTTGATGGGAAGATATTTCCTTTTTCACCATAGGCCTGAAAGCGCTCCAAATGTCCACTTCCAGATACTACAATAAGAGTGTTTCCAACCTGCTCTATGAAACGGAAGGTTCAACTCTGTGACTTGATTGCAAACATCACGAAGGTGTTTCTGAGAATGCTTCTGTCTAGATTTTCTTTGAAGACATTCCCGTTTCCAACGAAATCCTCACAGCTATCCAAATATCCTCTTGCAGATTCTACAAAAAGTGTGGTTCAAAACTGCTGTATCAAAAGAATGGATCAACACTGTTAGTTGAGTACCCACATCACAAACGTGATTCTCAGAATGCTTCTGTCTAGTTTCTGTAGGTAGATATTTCCTATTTTAAGCATAGGCCTGAAAGCGCTCCAAATGCCCGCTTCCAGACACTATAAAAAGAGGGTTTCAAACCTACTCTATGAAAGGGAATGTTCAACTCTGAGAGCTGGATGCAAACATCACAAAGAAGTTTCTGAGAATGCTGCTGTCTACTTTTGATATATAATCCCGTTTCCAACGAAATCCTCAAATCTCTCCAAATATCCACTTGCAGATTCCAAAAGAAGAGTGTCTCAAAACTGCTCTATCAATAGAAATGTTCAGCACAGTTAGTTGAGTAGATACAGCATAAACATGTTTCTGAGATTACTTCTATCTCGCATTCATGGGAAGATATTTCCTTTTTCCACATAGGCTACAAAGCCCTCCAAATGTCCACTTCCAGATACTACAAAAAGAGTGTTTCCAACCTGCTCTATGAAACGGAAGGTTCAACTCTGTGACTTGATTGCAAACATCACGAAGGTGTTTCTGAGAATGCTTCTGTCTAGATTTTCTTTGAAGACATTACCGTTTCCAACGAAATCCTCAAAGCTAGCCAAATATCCACCTGCAGATTCTGCAAAGAGAGTGTTTCAAAAGTGCTCTGTCCAAACCAAGGTTCAATTCTGACAGTTTAGTGCACACATCACAAACGTGATTCTGCGAATGCTTCTGTCTAGTTTTTGTCGGAAGATATTTCCTTTTTCAACATAGGCCCCAAGGAGCTCAAAATGTCCACTGCCAGATAGTACGAGAAGATTGTTTCAAACCTGCTCTGTGAAAGGGAATGTTCAACTCTGTGACTTGAATGTAAACATCCCTAAGATGTTTCTTAGAATGCTTCTGGCTAGATTTGATTTGAAGATATTCCCGTTTCCAACGAAATCCTCAAAGCTTTCCAAATATCCACTTCCAGATTCTATAAAAAGAATGTTTCAGAACAGTTCTGTCAAAAGAAAGGTTCAACTCTGTTAGTGGAGAACACACATCACAATCAAGGTTCTGAGAATGCTTCTGTCTAAATTTTCTATGAAGACATTCCCGTTTCCAACGAAATCCTCACAGCTATCCAAATATCCACTTGCAGATTCTACAAAAAGTGTGGTTCAAAACTGCTGTATCAAAAGAATGGATCAACACTGTTAGTTGAGTACCCACATCACAAACGTGATTCTCAGAATGCTTCTGTCTAGTTTCTATAGGTAGATATTTCCTTTTTCAGCATAGGCCTGAAAGCGCTCCAAATGCCCGCTTCCAGACACTATAAAAAGAGGGTTTCAAACCTACTCTATGAAAGGGAATGTTCAACTCTGAGAGCTGGATGCAAACATCACAAAGAAGTTTCTGAGAATGCTGCTGTCTACTTTTTATATATAATCCCGTTTCCAACGAAATCCTCAAATCTATCCAAATATCCACTTGCAGATTCCAAAAGAAGAGTGTCTCAAAACTGCTCTATCAATAGAAATGTTCAGCACAGTTAGTTGAGTAGATACAGCATAAACATGTTTCTGAGATTACTTCTATCTCGCATTCATGGGAAGATATTTCCTTTTTCCAGATAGGCTACAAAGCCCTCCAAATGTCCACTTCGAGATACTACAAATAGAGTGCTGCACAACTGCTCTATGTGAGGGGAAGTTCAATTCTGTGACTTGAATGCAGACACCACAAAGAAGTTTCAGAGAATGCTGCTGTCTAATTTTTACATGTAAGCCCGTTTCCAACGAAATCCTCAAAGCTATCCAAATATCCGCATGCAGAATCTTCAAAAAGAGTGTTCCAGAAGTACTGCATGAAACGAAAGGTTCAAGTCCGTTTGTTGAGGACACACATCACAAATAAGTTTCTCAGAATGCTTCTGTCTTGTTTTCATTGGAAGATATTTCCTTTTTCACCATAGTTCAGAAAGCGCTCCAAATGTCCACTTCCAGATACTCCAAAAAGACTGTTTCAAACCTGCTCTATGAATGGGAATGTTCCACTCTGTGACTTGAATGGAAATATGGCAAAGTATTTTCTGAGTATGCTGCTGTGTACGTTTTATATTGCATCCCGTTTCCAACGAAATCCTCAAAGCGATCCAAATATCCACTTGCAGATTCCAAAAAAAAGAGTGTTTCAAACGGCTCTGTCAGTACAAAGGTTCAACACTGTTAGTTGATTAGATGCGTCATAAACAAGTTCCTGAGATAGATTCTATGTCGTTTTTATGGGAAGATATTTCCTTTTTCACCATAGGCCTGAAAGCGCTCCAAATGTCCACTTCCAGATACTACAAAAAGAGTGTTTCCAACCTGCTCTATGAAACGGAAGGTTCAACTCTGTGACTTGATTGCAAACATCACGAAGGTGTTTCTGAGAATGTTTCTGTCTAGATTTTCTTTGAAGACATTACCGTTTCCAACGAAATCCTCAAAGCTAGCCAAATATCCACCTGCAGATTCTACAAAAAGAGTGTTTCAGAAGTGCTCTGTCCAAACAAAGGTTCAATTCCGACAGTTGAGTGCACACATCACAAACGTGATTCTGTGAATGCTTCTGTCTAGTTTTTGTCGGAAGATATTTCCTTTTTCAGCATAGGCCCCAAGGAGCTCAAAATGTCCACTTCCAGATACTACGAGAAGATTGTTTCAAACCTGCTCTGTGAAAGGGAATGTTCAACTCTGTGACTTGAATGTAAACATCCCTAAGATGTTTCTTAGAATGCTTCTGGCTAGATTTGATTTGAAGATATTCCCGTTTCAAACGAAATCCTCAAAGCTTTCCAAATATCCACTTCCAGATTCTATACAAAGAATGTTTCAGAACAGTTCTGTCAAAAGAAAGGTTCAACCCTGTTAGTGGAGAACACACATCACAATCAAGGTTCTGAGAATGCTTCTGTCTAAATTTTCTATGAAGACATTCCCGTTTCCAAGGAAATCCTCACAGCTATCCAAATATCCACTTGCAGATTCTACAAAAAGTGTGGTTCAAAACTGCTGTATCAAAAGAATGAATCAACACTGTTAGTTGAGTACCCACATCACAAACGTGATTCTCAGAATGCTTCTGTCTAGTTTCTATAGGTAGATATTTCCTTTTTCAGCATAGGCCTGAAAGCGCTCCAAATGCCCACTTCCAGACACTATAAAAAGAGGGTTTCAAACCTACTCTACGAAAGGGAATGTTCAACTCTGAGAGCTGGATGCAAACATCACAAAGAAGTTTCTGAGAATGCGGCTGTCTACTTTTGATATATAATCCCGTTTCCAACGAAATCCTCAAATCTATCCAAATATCCACTTGCAGATTCCAAAAGAAGAGTGTCTCAAAACTGCTCTATCAATAGAAATGTTCAGCACAGTTAGTTGAGTAGATACAGCATAAACATGTTTCTGAGATTACTTCTATCTCGCATTCATGGGAAGATATTTCCTTTTTCCAGATAGGCTACAAAGCCCTCCAAATGTCCACTTCCAGATACTACAAAAAGAGTGTTTCCAACCTGCTCTATGAAACGGAAGGTTCAACTCTGTGACTTGATTGCAAACATCACGAAGGTGTTTCTGAGAATGCTTCTGTCTAGATTTTCTTTGAAGACATTACCGTTTCCAACGAAATCCTCAAAGCTAGCCAAATATCCACCTGCAGATTCTACAAAAAGAGTGTTTCAAAAGTGCTCTGTCCAAACCAAGGTTCAATTCTGACAGTTGAGTGCACACATCACAAACGTGATTCTGCGAATGCTTCTGTCTAGTTTTTGTCGGAAGATATTTCCTTTTTCAGCATAGGCCCCAAGGAGCTCAAAATGTCCACTGCCAGATAGTACGAGAAGATTGTTTCAAACCTGCTCTGTGAAAGGGAATGTTCAACTCTGTGACTTGAATGTAAACATCCCTAAGATGTTTCTTAGAATGCTTCTGGCTAGATTTTATTTGAAGATATTCCCGTTTCCAACGAAATCCTCAAAGCTTTCCAAATATCCACTTCCAGATTCTATAAAAAGAATGTTTCAGAACAGTTCTGTCAAAAGAAAGGTTCAACTCTGTTAGTGGAGAACACACATCACAATCAAGGTTCTGAGAATGCTTCTGTCTAAATTTTCTATGAAGACATTCCCGTTTCCAACGAAATCCTCACAGCTATCCAAATATCCACTTGCAGATTCTACAAAAAGTGTGGTTCAAAACTGCTGTATCAAAAGAATGGATCAACACTGTTAGTTGAGTACCCACATCACAAACGTGATTCTCAGAATGCTTCTGTCTAGTTTCTATAGGTAGATATTTCCTTTTTCAGCATAGGCCTGAAAGCGCTCCAAATGCCCGCTTCCAGACACTATAAAAAGAGGGTTTCAAACCTACTCTATGAAAGGGAATGTTCAACTCTGAGAGCTGGATGCAAACATCACAAAGAAGTTTCTGAGAATGCTGCTGTCTACTTTTTATATATAATCCCGTTTCCAACGAAATCCTCAAATCTATCCAAATATCCACTTGCAGATTCCAAAAGAAGAGGGTCTCAAAACTGCTCTATCAATAGAAATGTTCAGCACAGTTAGTTGAGTAGATACAGCATAAACATGTTTCTGAGATTACTTCTATCTCGCATTCATGGGAAGATATTTCCTTTTTCCAGATAGGCTACAAAGCCCTCCAAATGTCCACTTCCAGATACTACAAATAGAGTGCTGCACAACTGCTCTATGTGAGGGGAAGTTCAATTCTGTGACTTGAATGCAGACACCACAAAGAAGTTTCTGAGAATGCTGCTGTCTAATTTTTACATGTAAGCCCGTTTCCAACGAAATCCTCAAAGCTATCCAAATATCCGCATGCAGAATCTTCAAAAAGAGTGTTCCAGAAGTACTGCATGAAACGAAAGGTTCAAGTCCGTTTGTTGAGGACACACATCACAAATAAGTTTCTCAGAATGCTTCTGTCTTGTTTTCATTGGAAGATATTTCCTTTTTCACCATAGTTCAGAAAGCGCTCCAAATGTCCACTTCCAGATACTCCAAAAAGAGTGTTTCCAACCTGCTCTATGAATGGGAATGTTCCACTCTGTGACTTGAATGGAAATATGGCAAAGTATTTTCTGAGTATGCTGCTGTGTACGTTTTATATTGCATCCCGTTTCCAACGAAATCCTCAAAGCGATCCAAATATCCACTTGCAGATTCCAAAAAAAGAGTGTTTCAAACTGCTCTGTCAGTACAAAGGTTCAACACTGTTAGTTGATTAGATGCATCATAAACAAGTTCCTGAGATAGCTTCTATGTCGTTTTTATGGGAAGATATTTCCTTTTTCACCATAGGCCTGAAAGCACTCCAAATGTCCACTTCCAGATACTACAAAAAGAGTGTTTCCAACCTGCTCTATGAAACGGAAGGTTCAACTCTGTGACTTGATTGCAAACATCACGAAGGTGTTTCTGAGAATGCTTCTGTCTAGATTTTCTTTGAAGACATTACCGTTTCCAACGAAATCCTCAAAGCTAGCCAAATATCCACCTGCAGATTCTACAAAAAGAGTGTTTCAAGAGTGCTCTGTCCAAACCAAGGTTCAATTCTGACAGTTGAGTGCACACATCACAAACGTGATTCTGCGAATGCTTCTGTCTAGTTTTTGTCGGAAGATATTTCCTTTTTCAGCATAGGCCCCAAGGAGCTCAAAATGTCCACTGCCAGATAGTACGAGAAGATTGTTTCAAACCTGCTCTGTGAAAGGGAATGTTCAACTCTGTGACTTGAATGTAAACATCCCTAAGCTGTTTCTTAGAATGCTTCTGGCTAGATTTTATTTGAAGATATTCCCGTTTCCAACGAAATCCTCAAAGCTTTCCAAATATCCACTTCCAGATTCTATAAAAAGAATGTTTCAGAACAGTTCTGTCAAAAGAAAGGTTCAACTCTGTTAGTGGAGAACACACATCACAATCAAGGTTCTGAGAATGCTTCTGTCTAAATTTTCTATGAAGACATTCCCGTTTCCAACGAAATCCTCACAGCTATCCAAATATCCACTTGCAGATTCTACAAAAAGTGTGGTTCAAAACTGCTGTATCAAAAGAATGGATCAACACTGTTAGTTGAGTACCCACATCACAAACGTGATTCTCAGAATGCTTCTGTCTAGTTTCTATAGGTAGATATTTCCTTTTTCAGCATAGGCCTGAAAGCGCTCCAAATGCCCGCTTCCAGACACTATAAAAAGAGGGTTTCAAACCTACTCTATGAAAGGGAATGTTCAACTCTGAGAGCTGGATGCAAACATCACAAAGAAGTTTCTGAGAATGCTGCTGTCTACTTTTTATATATAATCCCGTTTCCAACGAAATCCTCAAATCTATCCAAATATCCACTTGCAGATTCCAAAAGAAGAGTGTCTCAAAACTGCTCTATCAATAGAAATGTTCAGCACAGTTAGTTGAGTAGATACAGCATAAACATGTTTCTGAGATTACTTCTATCTCGCATTCATGGGAAGATATTTCCTTTTTCCAGATAGGCTACAAAGCCCTCCAAATGTCCACTTCCAGATACTACAAATAGAGTGCTGCACAACTGCTCTATGTGAGGGGAAGTTCAATTCTGTGACTTGAATGCAGACACCACAAAGAAGTTTCTGAGAATGCTGCTGTCTAATTTTTACATGTAAGCCCGTTTCCAACGAAATCCTCAAAGCTATCCAAATATCCGCATGCAGAATCTTCAAAAAGAGTGTTCCAGAAGTACTGCATGAAACGAAAGGTTCAAGTCCGTTTGTTGAGGACACACATCACAAATAAGTTTCTCAGAATGCTTCTGTCTTGTTTTCATTGGAAGATATTTCCTTTTTCACCATAGTTCAGAAAGCGCTCCAAATGTCCACTTCCAGATACTCCAAAAAGAGTGTTTCCAACCTGCTCTATGAATGGGAATGTTCCACTCTGTGACTTGAATGGAAATATGGCAAAGTATTTTCTGAGTATGCTGCTGTGTACGTTTTATATTGCATCCCGTTTCCAACGAAATCCTCAAAGCGATCCAAATATCCACTTGCAGATTCCAAAAAAAGAGTGTTTCAAACTGCTCTGTCAGTACAAAGGTTCAACACTGTTAGTTGATTAGATGCATCATAAACAAGTTCCTGAGATAGCTTCTATGTCGTTTTTATGGGAAGATATTTCCTTTTTCACCATAGGCCTGAAAGCGCTCCAAATGTCCACTTCCAGATACTACAATAAGAGTGTTTCCAACCTGCTCTATGAAACGGAAGGTTCAACTCTGTGACTTGATTGCAAACATCACGAAGGTGTTTCTGAGAATGCTTCTGTCTAGATTTTCTTTGAAGACATCCCCGTTTCCAACGAAATCCTCACAGCTATCCAAATATCCTCTTGCAGATTCTACAAAAAGTGTGGTTCAAAACTGCTGTATCAAAAGAATGGATCAACACTGTTAGTTGAGTACCCACATCACAAACGTGATTCTCAGAATGCTTCTGTCTAGTTTCTGTAGGTAGATATTTCCTATTTTAAACATAGGCCTGAAAGCGCTCCAAATGCCCGCTTCCAGACACTACAAAAAGAGGGTTTCAAACCTACTCTATGAAAGGGAATGTTCAACTCTGAGAGCTGGATGCAAACATCACAAAGAAGTTTCTGAGAATGCTGCTGTCTACTTTTTATATATAATCCCGTTTCCAACGAAATCCTCAAATCTATCCAAATATCCACTTGCAGATTCCAAAAGAAGAGTGTCTCAAAACTGCTCTATCAATAGAAATGTTCAGCACAGTTAGTTGAGTAGATACAGCATAAACATGTTTCTCAGATTACTTCTATCTCGCATTCATGGGAAGATATTTCCTTTTTCCAGATAGGCTACAAAGCCCTCCAAATGTCCACTTCCAGATACTACAAATAGAGTGCTGCACAACTGCTCTATGTGAGGGGAAGTTCAATTCTGTGACTTGAATGCAGACACCACAAAGAAGTTTCTGAGAATGCTGCTGTCTAATTTTTACATGTAAGACCGTTTCCAACGAAATCCTCAAAGCTATCCAAATATCCGCATGCAGAATCTTCAAAAAGAGTGTTCCAGAAGTACTGCATGAAACGAAAGGTTCAAGTCCGTTTGTTGAGGACACACATCACAAATAAGTTTCTCAGAATGCTTCTGTCTTGTTTTCATTGGAAGATATTTCCTTTTTCACCATAGTTCAGAAAGCGCTCCAAATGTCCACTTCCAGATACTCCAAAAAGAGTGTTTCCAACCTGCTCTATGAATGGGAATGTTCCACTCTGTGACTTGAATGGAAATATGGCAAAGTATTTTCTGAGTATGCTGCTGTGTACGTTTTATATTGCATCCCGTTTCCAACGAAATCCTCAAAGCGATCCAAATATCCACTTGCAGATTCCAAAAAAAGAGTGTTTCAAACTGCTCTGTCAGTACAAAGGTTCAACACTGTTAGTTGATTAGATGCATCATAAACAAGTTCCTGATATAGATTCTATGTCGTTTTTATGGGAAGATATTTCCTTTTTCACCATAGGCCTGAAAGCGCTCCAAATGTCCACTTCCAGATACTACAATAAGAGTGTTTCCAACCTGCTCTATGAAACGGAAGGTTCAACTCTGTGACTTGATTGCAAACATCACGAAGGTGTTTCTGAGAATGCTTCTGTCTAGATTTTCTTTGAAGACATTCCCGTTTCCAACGAAATCCTCACAGCTATCCAAATATCCTCTTGCAGATTCTACAAAAAGTGTGGTTCAAAACTGCTGTATCAAAAGAATGGATCAACACTGTTAGTTGAGTACCCACATCACAAACGTGATTCTCAGAATGCTTCTGTCTAGTTTCTGTAGGTAGATATTTCCTATTTTAAGCATAGGCCTGAAAGCGCTCCAAATGCCCGCTTCCAGACACTATAAAAAGAGGGTTTCAAACCTACTCTATGAAAGGGAATGTTCAACTCTGAGAGCTGGATGCAAACATCACAAAGAAGTTTCTGAGAATGCTGCTGTCTACTTTTTATATATAATCCCGTTTCCAACGAAATCCTCAAATCTATCCAAATATCCACTTGCAGATTCCAAAAGAAGAGTGTCTCAAAACTGCTCTATCAATAGAAATGTTCAGCACAGTTAGTTGAGTAGATACAGCATAAACATGTTTCTGAGATTACTTCTATCTCGCATTCATGGGAAGATATTTCCTTTTTCCAGATAGGCTACAAAGCCCTCCAAATGTCCACTTCCAGATACTACAAATAGAGTGCTGCACAACTGCTCTATGGTGAGGGGATGTTCAATTCTGTGACTTGAACGCAGACACCACAAAGAAGTTTCTGAGAATGCTGCTGTCTAATTTTTACATGTAAGCCCGTTTCCAACGAAATCCTCAAAGCTATCCAAATATCCGCATGCAGAATCTTCAAAAAGAGTGTTCCAGAAGTACTGCATGAAACGAAAGGTTCAAGTCCGTTTGTTGAGGACACACATCACAAATAAGTTTCTCAGAATGCTTCTGTCTTGTTTTCATTGGAAGATATTTCCTTTTTCACCATAGTTCAGAAAGCGCTCCAAATGTCCACTTCCAGATACTCCAAAAAGAGTGTTTCAAACCTGCTCTATGAATGGGAATGTTCCACTCTGTGACTTGAATGGAAATATGGCAAAGTATTTTCTGAGTATGCTGCTGTGTACGTTTTATATTGCATCCCGTTTCCAACGAAATCCTCAAAGCGATCCAAATATCCACTTGCAGATTCCAAAAAAAGAGTGTTTCAAACTGCTCTGTCAGTACAAAGGTTCAACACTGTTAGTTGATTAGATGCATCATAAACAAGTTCCTGAGATAGCTTCTATGTCGTTTTTATGGGAAGATATTTCCTTTTTCACCATAGGCCTGAAAGCGCTCCAAATGTCCACTTCCAGATACTACAATAAGAGTGTTTCCAACCTGCTCTATGAAACGGAAGGTTCAACTCTGTGACTTGATTGCAAACATCACGAAGGTGTTTCTGAGAATGCTTCTGTCTAGATTTTCTTTGAAGACATTCCCGTTTCCAACGAAATCCTCACAGCTATCCAAATATCCTCTTGCAGATTCTACAAAAAGTGTGGTTCAAAACTGCTGTATCAAAAGAATGGATCAACACTGTTAGTTGAGTACCCACATCACAAACGTGATTCTCAGAATGCTTCTGTCTAGTTTCTGTAGGTAGATATTTCCTATTTTAAGCATAGGCCTGAAAGCGCTCCAAATGCCCGCTTCCAGACACTATAAAAAGAGGGTTTCAAACCTACTCTATGAAAGGGAATGTTCAACTCTGAGAGCTGGATGCAAACATCACAAAGAAGTTTCTGAGAATGCTGCTGTCTACTTTTTATATATAATCCCGTTTCCAACGAAATCCTCAAATCTATCCAAATATCCACTTGCAGATTCCAAAAGAAGAGGGTCTCAAAACTGCTCTATCAATAGAAATGTTCAGCACAGTTAGTTGAGTAGATACAGCATAAACATGTTTCTCAGATTACTTCTATCTCGCATTCATGGGAAGATATTTCCTTTTTCCAGATAGGCTACAAAGCCCTCCAAATGTCCACTTCCAGATACTACAAATAGAGTGCTGCACAACTGCTCTATGTGAGGGGAAGTTCAATTCTGTGACTTGAATGCAGACACCACAAAGAAGTTTCTGAGAATGCTGCTGTCTAATTTTTACATGTAAGCCCGTTTCCAACGAAATCCTCAAAGCTATCCAAATATCCGCATGCAGAATCTTCAAAAAGAGTGTTCCAGAAGTACTGCATGAAACGAAAGGTTCAAGTCCGTTTGTTGAGGACACACATCACAAATAAGTTTCTCAGAATGCTTCTGTCTTGTTTTCATTGGAAGATATTTCCTTTTTCACCATAGTTCAGAAAGCGCTCCAAATGTCCACTTCCAGATACTCCAAAAAGAGTGTTTCCAACCTGCTCTATGAATGGGAATGTTCCACTCTGTGACTTGAATGGAAATATGGCAAAGTATTTTCTGAGTATGCTGCTGTGTACGTTTTATATTGCATCCCGTTTCCAACGAAATCCTCAAAGCGATCCAAATATCCACTTGCAGATTCCAAAAAAAGAGTGTTTCAAACTGCTCTGTCAGTACAAAGGTTCAACACTGTTAGTTGATTAGATGCATCATAAACAAGTTCCTGAGATAGCTTCTATGTCGTTTTTATGGGAAGATATTTCCTTTTTCACCATAGGCCTGAAAGCACTCCAAATGTCCACTTCCAGATACTACAAAAAGAGTGTTTCCAACCTGCTCTATGAAACGGAAGGTTCAACTCTGTGACTTGATTGCAAACATCACGAAGGTGTTTCTGAGAATGCTTCTGTCTAGATTTTCTTTGAAGACATTCCCGTTTCCAACGAAATCCTCACAGCTATCCAAATATCCTCTTGCAGATTCTACAAAAAGTGTGGTTCAAAACTGCTGTATCAAAAGAATGGATCAACACTGTTAGTTGAGTACCCACATCACAAACGTGATTCTCAGAATGCTTCTGTCTAGTTTCTGTAGGTAGATATTTCCTATTTTAAGCATAGGCCTGAAAGCGCTCCAAATGCCCGCTTCCAGACACTATAAAAAGAGGGTTTCAAACCTACTCTATGAAAGGGAATGTTCAACTCTGAGAGCTGGATGCAAACATCACAAAGAAGTTTCTGAGAATGCTGCTGTCTACTTTTGATATATAATCCCGTTTCCAACGAAATCCTCAAATCTATCCAAATATCCACTTGCAGATTCCAAAAGAAGAGTGTCTCAAAACTGCTCTATCAATAGAAATGTTCAGCACAGTTAGTTGAGTAGATACAGCATAAACATGTTTCTGAGATTACTTCTATCTCGCATTCATGGGAAGATATTTCCTTTTTCCAGATAGGCTACAAAGCCCTCCAAATGTCCACTTCCAGATACTACAAATAGAGTGCTGCACAACTGCTCTATGTGAGGGGAAGTTCAATTCTGTGACTTGAATGCAGACACCACAAAGAAGTTTCTGAGAATGCTGCTGTCTAATTTTTACATGTAAGCCCGTTTCCAACGAAATCCTCAAAGCTATCCAAATATCCGCATGCAGAATCTTCAAAAAGAGTGTTCCAGAAGTACTGCATGAAACGAAAGGTTCAAGTCCGTTTGTTGAGGACACACATCACAAATAAGTTTCTCAGAATGCTTCTGTCTTGTTTTCATTGGAAGTTATTTCCTTTTTCACCATAGTTCAGAAAGCGCTCCAAATGTCCACTTCCAGATACTCCAAAAAGAGTGTTTCAAACCTGCTCTATGAATGGGAATGTTCCACTCTGTGACTTGAATGGAAATATGGCAAAGTATTTTCTGAGTATGCTGCTGTGTACGTTTTATATTGCATCCCGTTTCCAACGAAATCCTCAAAGCGATCCAAATATCCACTTGCAGATTCCAAAAAAAGAGTGTTTCAAACTGCTCTGTCAGTACAAAGGTTCAACACTGTTAGTTGATTAGATGCATCATAAACAAGTTCCTGAGATAGCTTCTATGTCGTTTTTATGGGAAGATATTTCCTTTTTCACCATAGGCCTGAAAGCGCTCCAAATGTCCACTTCCAGATACTACAAAAAGAGTGTTTCCAACCTGCTCTATGAAACGGAAGGTTCAACTCTGTGACTTGATTGCAAACATCACGAAGGTGTTTCTGAGAATGCTTCTGTCTACATTTTCTTTGAAGACATTACCGTTTCCAACGAAATCCTCAAAGCTAGCCAAATATCCACCTGCAGATTCTACAAAAAGAGTGTTTCAAAAGTGCTCTGTCCAAACCAAGGTTCAATTCTGACAGTTGAGTGCACACATCACAAACGTGATTCTGCGAATGCTTCTGTCTAGTTTTTGTCGGAAGATATTTCCTTTTTCAGCATAGGCCCCAAGGAGCTCAAAATGTCCACTGCCAGATAGTACGAGAAGATTGTTTCAAACCTGCTCTGTGAAAGGGAATGTTCAACTCTGTGACTTGAATGTAAACATCCCTAAGATGTTTCTTAGAATGCTTCTGGCTAGATTTTATTTGAAGATATTCCCGTTTCCAACGAAATCCTCAAAGCTTTCCAAATATCCACTTCCAGATTCTATAAAAAGAATGTTTCAGAACAGTTCTGTCAAAAGAAAGGTTCAACTCTGTTAGTGGAGAACACACATCACAATCAAGGTTCTGAGAATGCTTCTGTCTAAATTTTCTATGAAGACATTCCCGTTTCCAACGAAATCCTCACAGCTATCCAAATATCCACTTGCAGATTCTACAAAAAGTGTGGTTCAAAACTGCTGTATCAAAAGAATGGATCAACACTGTTAGTTGAGTACCCACATCACAAACGTGATTCTCAGAATGCTTCTGTCTAGTTTCTATAGGTAGATATTTCCTTTTTCAGCATAGGCCTGAAAGCGCTCCAAATGCCCGCTTCCAGACACTATAAAAAGAGGGTTTCAAACCTACTCTATGAAAGGGAATGTTCAACTCTGGGAGCTGGATGCAAACATCACAAAGAAGTTTCTGAGAATGCTGCTGTCTACTTTTTATATATAATCCCGTTTCCAACGAAATCCTCAAATCTATCCAAATATCCACTTGCAGATTCCAAAAGAAGAGTGTCTCAAAACTGCTCTATCAATAGAAATGTTCAGCACAGTTAGTTGAGTAGATACAGCATAAACATGTTTCTGAGATTACTTCTATCTCGCATTCATGGGAAGATATTTCCTTTTTCCAGATAGGCTACAAAGCCCTCCAAATGTCCACTTCCAGATACTACAAATAGAGTGCTGCACAACTGCTCTATGTGAGGGGAAGTTCAATTCTGTGACTTGAATGCAGACACCACAAAGAAGTTTCTGAGAATGCTGCTGTCTAATTTTTACATGTAAGCCCGTTTCCAACGAAATCCTCAAAGCTATCCAAATATCCGCATGCAGAATCTTCAAAAAGAGTGTTCCAGAAGTACTGCATGAAACGAAAGGTTCAAGTCCGTTTGTTGAGGACACACATCACAAATAAGTTTCTCAGAATGCTTCTGTCTTGTTTTCATTGGAAGATATTTCCTTTTTCACCATAGTTCAGAAAGCGCTCCAAATGTCCACTTCCAGATACTCCAAAAAGAGTGTTTCCAACCTGCTCTATGAATGGGAATGTTCCACTCTGTGACTTGAATGGAAATATGGCAAAGTATTTTCTGAGTATGCTGCTGTGTACGTTTTATATTGCATCCCGTTTCCAACGAAATCCTCAAAGCGATCCAAATATCCACTTGCAGATTCCAAAAAAAGAGTGTTTCAAACTGCTCTGTCAGTACAAAGGTTCAACACTGTTAGTTGATTAGATGCATCATAAACAAGTTCCTGAGATAGCTTCTATGTCGTTTTTATGGGAAGATATTTCCTTTTTCACCATAGGCCTGAAAGCGCTCCAAATGTCCACTTCCAGATACTACAATAAGAGTGTTTCCAACCTGCTCTATGAAACGGAAGGTTCAACTCTGTGACTTGATTGCAAACATCACGAAGGTGTTTCTGAGAATGCTTCTGTCTAGATTTTCTTTGAAGACATTCCCGTTTCCAACGAAATCCTCACAGCTATCCAAATATCCTCTTGCAGATTCTACAAAAAGTGTGGTTCAAAACTGCTGTATCAAAAGAATGGATCAACACTGTTAGTTGAGTACCCACATCACAAACGTGATTCTCAGAATGCTTCTGTCTAGTTTCTGTAGGTAGATATTTCCTATTTTAAGCATAGGCCTGAAAGCGCTCCAAATGCCCGCTTCCAGACACTATAAAAAGAGGGTTTCAAACCTACTCTATGAAAGGGAATGTTCAACTCTGAGAGCTGGATGCAAACATCACAAAGAAGTTTCTGAGAATGCTGCTGTCTACTTTTTATATATAATCCCGTTTCCAACGAAATCCTCAAATCTATCCAAATATCCACTTGCAGATTCCAAAAGAAGAGTGTCTCAAAACTGCTCTATCAATAGAAATGCTCAGCACAGTTAGTTGAGTAGATACAGCATAAACATGTTTCTGAGATTACTTCTATCTCGCATTCATGGGAAGATATTTCCTTTTTCCAGATAGGCTAAAAAGCCCTCCAAATGTCCACTTCCAGATACTACAAAAAGAGTGTTTCCAACCTGCTCTATGAAACGGAAGGTTCAACTCTGTGACTTGATTGCAAACATCACGAAGGTGTTTCTGAGAATGCTTCTGTCTAGATTTTCTTTGAAGACATTACCGTTTCCAACGAAATCCTCAAAGCTAGCCAAATATCCACCTGCAGATTCTACAAAAAGAGTGTTTCAAAAGTGCTCTGTCCAAACCAAGGTTCAATTCTGACAGTTGAGTGCACACATCACAAACGTGATTCTGCGAATGCTTCTGTCTAGTTTTTGTCGGAAGATATTTCCTTTTTCAGCATAGGCCCCAAGGAGCTCAAAATGTCCACTGCCAGATAGTACGAGAAGATTGTTTCAAACCTGCTCTGTGAAAGGGAATGTTCAACTCTGTGACTTGAATGTAAACATCCCTAAGATGTTTCTTAGAATGCTTCTGGCTAGATTTTATTTGAAGATATTCTCGTTTCCAACGAAATCCTCAAAGCTTTCCAAATATCCACTTCCAGATTCTATAAAAAGAATGTTTCAGAACATTTCTGTCAAAAGAAAGGTTCAACTCTGTTAGTGGAGAACACACATCACAATCAAGGTTCTGAGAATGCTTCTGTCTAAATTTTCTATGAAGACATTCCCGTTTCCAACGAAATCCTCACAGCTATCCAAATATCCACTTGCAGATTCTACAAAAAGTGTGGTTCAAAACTGCTGTATCAAAAGAATGGATCAACACTGTTAGTTGAGTACCCACATCACAAACGTGATTCTCAGAATGCTTCTGTCTAGTTTCTGTAGGTAGATATTTCCTATTTTAAGCATAGGTCTGAAAGCGCTCCAAATGCCCGCTTCCAGACACTATAAAAAGAGGGTTTCAAACCTACTCTATGAAAGGGAATGTTCAACTCTGAGAGCTGGATGCAAACATCACAAAGAAGTTTCTGAGAATGCTGCTGTCTACTTTTTATATATAATCCCGTTTCCAACGAAATCCTCAAATCTCTCCAAATATCCACTTGCAGATTCCAAAAGAAGAGTGTCTCAAAACTGCTCTATCAATAGAAATGTTCAGCACAGTTAGTTGAGTAGATACAGCATAAACATGTTTCTGAGATTACTTCTATCTCGCATTCATGGGAAGATATTTCCTTTTTCCAGATAGGCTACAAAGCCCTCCAAATGTCCACTTCCAGATACTACAAATAGAGTGCTGCACAACTGCTCTATGTGAGGGGATGTTCAATTCTGTGACTTGAATGCAGACACCACAAAGAAGTTTCTGAGAATGCTGCTGTCTAATTTTTACATGTAAGCCCGTTTCCAACGAAATCCTCAAAGCTATCCAAATATCCGCATGCAGAATCTTCAAAAAGAGTGTTCCAGAAGTACTGCATGAAACGAAAGGTTCAAGTCCGTTTGTTGAGGACACACATCACAAATAAGTTTCTCAGAATGCTTCTGTCTTGTTTTCATTGGAAGATATTTCCTTTTTCACCATAGTTCAGAAAGCGCTCCAAATGTCCACTTCCAGATACTCCAAAAAGAGTGTTTCCAACCTGCTCTATGAATGGGAATGTTCCACTCTGTGACTTGAATGGAAATATGGCAAAGTATTTTCTGAGTATGCTGCTGTGTACGTTTTATATTGCATCCCGTTTCCAACGAAATCCTCAAAGCGATCCAAATATCCACTTGCAGATTCCAAAAAAAGAGTGTTTCAAAGTGCTCTGTCAGTACAAAGGTTCAACACTGTTAGTTGATTAGATGCATCATAAACAAGTTCCTGAGATAGCTTCTATGTCGTTTTTATGGGAAGATATTTCCTTTTTCACCATAGGCCTGAAAGCGCTCCAAATGTCCACTTCCAGATACTACAAAAAGAGTGTTTCCAACCTGCTCTATGAAACGGAAGGTTCAACTCTGTGACTTGATTGCAAACATCACGAAGGTGTTTCTGAGAATGCTCTGTCTAGATTTTCTTTGAAGACATTCCCGTTTCCAACGAAATCCTCACAGCTATCCAAATATCCTCTTGCAGATTCTACAAAAAGTGTGGTTCAAAACTGCTGTATCAAAAGAATGGATCAACACTGTTAGTTGAGTACCCACATCACAAACGTGATTCTCAGAATGCTTTCTGTCTAGTTCCTGTAGGTAGATATTTCCTATTTTAAGCATAGGCCTGAAAGCGCTCCAAATGCCCGCTTCCAGACACTATAAAAAGAGGGTTTCAAACCTACTCTATGAAAGGGAATGTTCAACTCTGAGAGCTGGATGCAAACATCACAAAGAAGTTTCTGATAATGCTTGCTGTCTACTTTTTATATATAATCCCGTTTCCAACGAAATCCTCAAATCTATCCAAATATCCACTTGCAGATTCCAAAAGAAGAGTGTCTCAAAACTGCTCTATCAATAGAAATGTTCAGCACAGTTAGTTGAGTAGATACAGCATAAACATGTTTCTGAGATTACTTCTATCTCGCATTCATGGGAAGATATTTCCTTTTTCCAGATAGGCTACAAAGCCCTCCAAATGTCCACTTCCAGATACTACAAAAAGAGTGTTTCCAACCTGCTCTATGAAACGGAAGGTTCAACTCTGTGACTTGATTGCAAACATCACGAAGGTGTTTCTGAGAATGCTTCTGTGTAGATTTTCTTTGAAGTCATTACCGTTTCCAACGAAATCCTCAAAGCTAGCCAAATATCCACCTGCAGATTCTACAAAAAGAGTGTTTCAAAAGTGCTCTGTCCAAACCAAGGTTCAATTCTGACAGTTGAGTGCACACATCACAAACGTGATTCTGCGAATGCTTCTGTCTAGTTTTTGTCGGAAGATATTTCCTTTTTCAGCATAGGCCCCAAGGAGCTCAAAATGTCCACTTCCAGATAGTACGAGAAGATTGTTTCAAACCTGCTCTGTGAAAGGGAATGTTCAACTCTGTGACTTGAATGTAAACATCCCTAAGATGTTTCTTAGAATGCTTCTGGCTAGATTTGATTTGAAGATATTCCCGTTTCCAACGAAATCCTCAAAGCTTTCCAAATATCCACTTCCAGATTCTATAAAAAGAATGTTTCAGAACAGTTCTGTCAAAAGAAAGGTTCAACTCTGTTAGTGGAGAACACACATCACAATCAAGGTTCTGAGAATGCTTCTGTCTAAATTTTCTATGAAGACATTCCCGTTTCCAACGAAATCCTCACAGCTATCCAAATATCCACTTGCAGATTCTACAAAAAGTGTTGTTCAAAACTGCTGTATCAAAAGAATGGATCAACACTGTTAGTTGAGGTACCCACATCACAAACGTGATTCTCAGAATGCTTCTGTCTAGTTTCTATAGGTAGATATTTCCTTTTTCAGCATAGGCCTGAAAGCGCTCCAAATGCCCGCTTCCAGACACTATAAAAAGAGGGTTTCAAAACTACTCTATGAAAGGGAATGTTCAACTCTGGGAGCTGGATGCAAACATCACAAAGAAGTTTCTGAGAATGCTGCTGTCTACTTTTTATATATAATCCCGTTTCCAACGAAATCCTCAAATCTATCCAAATATCCACTTGCAGATTCCAAAAGAAGAGTGTCTCAAAACTGCTCTATCAATAGAAATGTTCAGCACAGTTAGTTGAGTAGATACAGCATAAACATGTTTCTGAGATTACTTCTATCTCGCATTCATGGGAAGATATTTCCTTTTTCCAGATAGGCTACAAAGCCCTCCAAATGTCCACTTCCAGATACTACAAAAAGTGTGTTTCCAACCTGCTCTATGAAACGGAAGGTTCAACTCTGTGACTTGATTGCAAACATCACGAAGGTGTTTCTGAGAATGCTTCTGTCTAGATTTTCTTTGAAGACATTACCGTTTCCAACGAAATCCTCAAAGCTAGCCAAATATCCACCTGCAGATTCTACAAAAAGAGTGTTTCAAAAGTGCTCTCTCCAAACCAAGGTTCAATTCTGACAGTTGAGTGCACACATCACAAACGTGATTCTGCGAATGCTTCTGTCTAGTTTTTGTCGGAAGATATTTCCTTTTTCAGCATAGGCCCCAAAGAGCTCAAAATGTCCACTGCCAGATAGTACGAGAAGATTGTTTCAAACCTGCTCTGTGAAAGGGAATGTTCAACTCTGTGACTTGAATGTAAACATCCCTAAGATGTTTCTTAGAATGCTTCTGGCTAGATTTTATTTGAAGATATTCCCGTTTCCAACGAAATCCTCAAAGCTTTCCAAATATCCACTTCCAGATTCTATAAAAAGAATGTTTCAGAACAGTTCTGTCAAAAGAAAGGTTCAACTCTGTTAGTGGAGAACACACATCACAATCAAGGTTCTGAGAATGCTTCTGTCTAAATTTTCTATGAAGACATTCCCGTTTCCAACGAAATCCTCACAGCTATCCAAATATCCACTTGCAGATTCTACAAAAAGTGTGGTTCAAAACTGCTGTATCAAAAGAATGGATCAACACTGTTAGTTGAGTACCCACATCACAAACGTGATTCTCAGAATGCTTCTGTCTAGTTTCTATAGGTAGATATTTCCTATTTTAAGCATAGGCCTGAAAGCGCTCCAAATGCCCGCTTCCAGACACTATAAAAAGAGGGTTTCAAACCTACTCTATGAAAGGGAATGTTCAACTCTGAGAGCTGGATGCAAACATCACAAAGAAGTTTCTGAGAATGCTGCTGTCTACTTTTGATATATAATCCCGTTTCCAACGAAATCCTCAAATCTATCCAAATATCCACTTGCAGATTCCAAAAGAAGAGTGTCTCAAAACTGCTCTATCAATAGAAATGTTCAGCACAGTTAGTTGAGTAGATACTGCATAAACATGTTTCTGAGATTACTTCTATCTCGCATTCATGGGAAGATATTTCCTTTTTCCAGATAGGCTACAAAGCCCTCCAAATGTCCACTTCGAGATACTACAAATAGAGTGCTGCACAACTGCTCTATGTGAGGGGAAGTTCAATTCTGTGACTTGAATGCAGACACCACAAAGAAGTTTCTGAGAATGCTGCTGTCTAATTTTTACATGTAAGCCCGTTTCCAACGAAATCCTCAAAGCTATCCAAATATCCGCATGCAGAATCTTCAAAAAGAGTGTTCCAGAAGTACTGCATGAAACGAAAGGTTCAAGTCCGTTTGTTGAGGACACACATCACAAATAAGTTTCTCACAATGCTTCTGTCTTGTTTTCATTGGAAGATATTTCCTTTTTCACCATAGTTCAGAAAGCGCTCCAAATGTCCACTTCCAGATACTCCAAAAAGAGTGTTTCAAACCTGCTCTATGAATGGGAATGTTCCACTCTCTGACTTGAATGGAAATATGGCAAAGTATTTTCTGAGTATGCTGCTGTGTACGTTTTATATTGCATCCCGTTTCCAACGAAATCCTCAAAGCGATCCAAATATCCACTTGCAGATTCCAAAAAAAGAGTGTTTCAAACTGCTCTGTCAGTACAAAGGTTCAACACTGTTAGTTGATTAGATGCATCATAAACAAGTTCCTGAGATAGCTTCTATGTCGTTTTTATGGGAAGATATTTCCTTTTTCACCATAGGCCTGAAAGCGCTCCAAATGTCCACTTCCAGATACTACAATAAGAGTGTTTCCAACCTGCTCTATGAAACGGAAGGTTCAACTCTGTGACTTGATTGCAAACATCACGAAGGTGTTTCTGAGAATGCTTCTGTCTAGATTTTCTTTGAAGACATTCCCGTTTCCAACGAAATCCTCACAGCTATCCAAATATCCTCTTGCAGATTCTACAAAAAGTGTGGTTCAAAACTGCTGTATCAAAAGAATGGATCAACACTGTTAGTTGAGTACCCACATCACAAACGTGATTCTCAGAATGCTTCTGTCTAGTTTCTGTAGGTAGATATTTCCTATTTTAAGCATAGGCCTTAAAGCGCTCCAAATGCCCGCTTGCAGACACTATAAAAAGAGGGTTTCAAACCTACTCTATGAAAGGGAATGTTCAACTCTGAGAGCTGGATGCAAACATCACAAAGAAGTTTCTGAGAATGCTGCTGTCTACTTTTTATATATAATCCCGTTTCCAACGAAATCCTCAAATCTATCCAAATATCCACTTGCAGATTCCAAAAGAAGAGTGTCTCAAAACTGCTCTATCAATAGAAATGTTCAGCACAGTTAGTTGAGTAGATACAGCATAAACATGTTTCTGAGATTACTTCTATCTCGCATTCATGGGAAGATATTTCCTTTTTCCAGATAGGCTACAAAGCCCTCCAAATGTCCACTTCCAGATACTACAAATAGAGTGCTGCACAACTGCTCTATGTGAGGGGAAGTTCAACTCTGTGACTTGAATGCAGACACGACAAAGAAGTTTCTGAGAATGCTGCTGTCTAATTTTTACATGTAAGCCCGTTTCCAACGAAATCCTCAAAGCTATCCAAATATCCGCATGCAGAATCTTCAAAAAGTGTTCCAGAAGTACTGCATGAAACGAAAGGTTCAAGTCCGTTTGTTGAGGACACACATCACAAATAAGTTTCTCAGAATGCTTCTGTCTTGTTTTCATTGGAAGATATTTCCTTTTTCACCATAGTTCAGAAAGCGCTCCAAATGTCCACTTCCAGATACTCCAAAAAGAGTGTTTCCAACCTGCTCTATGAATGGGAATGTTCCACTCTGTGACTTGAATGGAAATATGGCAAAGTATTTTCTGAGTATGCTGCTGTGTACGTTTTATATTGCATCCCGTTTCCAACGAAATCCTCAAAGCGATCCAAATATCCACTTGCAGATTCCAAAAAAAGAGTGTTTCAAACTGCTCTGTCAGTACAAAGGTTCAACACTGTTAGTTGATTAGATGCATCATAAACAAGTTCCTGAGATAGCTTCTATGTCGTTTTTATGGGAAGATATTTCCTTTTTCACCATAGGCCTGAAAGCGCTCCAAATGTCCACTTCCAGATACTACAAAAAGAGTGTTTCCAACCTGCTCTATGAAACGGAAGGTTCAACTCTGTGACTTGATTGCAAACATCACGAAGGTGTTTCTGAGAATGCTTCTGTCTAGATTTTCTTTGAAGACATTCCCGTTTCCAACGAAATCCTCACAGCTATCCAAATATCCTCTTGCAGATTCTACAAAAAGTGTGGTTCAAAACTGCTGTATCAAAAGAATGGATCAACACTGTTAGTTGAGTACCCACATCACAAACGTGATTCTCAGAATGCTTCTGTCTAGTTTCTATAGGTAGATATTTCCTTTTTCAGCATAGGCCTGAAAGCGCTCCAAATGCCCGCTTCCAGACACTATAAAAAGAGGGTTTCAAACCTACTCTATGAAAGGGAATGTTCAACTCTGAGAGCTGGATGCAAACATCACAAAGAAGTTTCTGAGAATGCTGCTGTCTACTTTTTATATATAATCCCGTTTCCAACGAAATCCTCAAATCTATCCAAATATCCACTTGCAGATTCCAAAAGAAGAGTGTCTCAAAACTGCTCTATCAATAGAAATGTTCAGCACAGTTAGTTGAGTAGATACAGCATAAACATGTTTCTGAGATTACTTCTATCTCGCATTCATGGGAAGATATTTCCTTTTTCCAGATAGGCTACAAAGCCCTCCAAATGTCCACTTCCAGATACTACAGAAAGAGTGTTTCCAACCTGCTCTATGAAACGGAAGGTTCAACTCTGTGACTTGATTGCAAACATCACGAAGGTGTTTCTGAGAATGCTTCTGTCTAGATTTTCTTTGAAGACATTACCGTTTCCAACGAAATCCTCAAAGCTAGCCAAATATCCACCTGCAGATTCTACAAAAAGAGTGTTTCAAAAGTGCTCTGTCCAAACCAAGGTTCAATTCTGACAGTTGAGTGCACACATCACAAACGTGATTCTGCGAATGCTTCTGTCTAGTTTTTGTCGGAAGATATTTCCTTTTTCAGCATAGGCCCCAAGGAGCTCAAAATGTCCACTGCCAGATAGTACGAGAAGATTGTTTCAAACCTGCTCTGTGAAAGGGAATGTTCAACTCTGTGACTTGAATGTAAACATCCCTAAGATGTTTCTTAGAATGCTTCTGGCTAGATTTGATTTGAAGATATTCCCGTTTCCAACGAAATCCTCAAAGCTTTCCAAATATCCACTTCCAGATTCTATAAAAAGAATGTTTCAGAACAGTTCTGTCAAAAGAAAGGTTCAACTCTGTTAGTGGAGAACACACATCACAATCAAGGTTCTGAGAATGCTTCTGTCTAAATTTTCTATGAAGACATTCCCGTTTCCAACGAAATCCTCACAGCTATCCAAATATCCACTTGCAGATTCTACAAAAAGTGTGGTTCAAAACTGCTGTATCAAAAGAATGGATCAACACTGTTAGTTGAGTACCCACATCACAAACGTGATTCTCAGAATGCTTCTGTCTAGTTTCTATAGGTAGATATTTCCTTTTTCAGCATAGGCCTGAAAGCGCTCCAAATGCCCGCTTCCAGACACTATAAAAAGAGGGTTTCAAACCTACTCTATGAAAGGGAATGTTCAACTCTGAGAGCTGGATGCAAACATCACAAAGAAGTTTCTGAGAATGCTGCTGTCTACTTTTGATATATAATCCCGTTTCCAACGAAATCCTCAAATCTATCCAAATATCCACTTGCAGATTCCAAAAGAAGAGTGTCTCAAAACTGCTCTATCAATAGAAATGTTCAGCACAGTTAGTTGAGTAGATACAGCATAAACATGTTTCTGAGATTACTTCTATCTCGCATTCATGGGAAGATATTTCCTTTTTCCAGATAGGCTTCAAAGCCCTCCAAATGTCCACTTCGAGATACTACAAATAGAGTGCTGCACAACTGCTCTATGTGAGGGGATGTTCAATTCTGTGACTTGAATGCAGACACCACAAAGAAGTTTCTGAGAATGCTGCTGTCTAATTTTTACATGTAAGCCCGTTTCCAACGAAATCCTCAAAGCTATCCAAATATCCGCATGCAGAATCTTCAAAAAGAGTGTTCCAGAAGTACTGCATGAAACGAAAGGTTCAAGTCCGTTTGTTGAGGACACACATCACAAATAAGTTTCTCAGAATGCTTCTGTCTTGTTTTCATTGGAAGATATTTCCTTTTTCACCATAGTTCAGAAAGCGCTCCAAATGTCCACTTCCAGATACTCCAAAAAGAGTGTTTCCAACCTGCTCTATGAATGGGAATGTTCCACTCTGTGACTTGAATGGAAATATGGCAAAGTATTTTCTGAGTATGCTGCTGTGTACGTTTTATATTGCATCCCGTTTCCAACGAAATCCTCAAAGCGATCCAAATATCCACTTGCAGATTCCAAAAAAAGAGTGTTTCAAACTGCTCTGTCAGTACAAAGGTTCAACACTGTTAGTTGATTAGATGCCTCATAAACAAGTTCCTGAGATAGCTTCTATGTCGTTTTTATGGGAAGATATTTCCTTTTTCACCATAGGCCTGAAAGCGCTCCAAATGTCCACTTCCAGATACTACAATAAGAGTGTTTCCAACCTGCTCTATGAAACGGAAGGTTCAACTCTCTGACTTGATTGCAAACATCACGAAGGTGTTTCTGAGAATGTTTCTGTCTAGATTTTCTTTGAAGACATTCCCGTTTCCAACGAAATCCTCACAGCTATCCAAATATCCTCTTGCAGATTCTACAAAAAGTGTGGTTCAAAACTGCTGTATCAAAAGAATGGATCAACACTGTTAGTTGAGTACCCACATCACAAACGAGATTCTCAGAATGCTTCTGTCTAGTTTCTGTAGGTAGATATTTCCTATTTTAAGCATAGGCCTGAAAGCGCTCCAAATGCCCGCTTCCAGACACTATAAAAAGAGGGTTTCAAACCTACTCTATGAAAGGGAATGTTCAACTCTGAGAGCTGGATGCAAACATCACAAAGAAGTTTCTGAGAATGCTGCTGTCTACTTTTTATATATAATCCCGTTTCCAATGAAATCCTCAAATCTATCCAAATATCCACTTGCAGATTCCAAAAGAAGAGTGTCTCAAAACTGCTCTATCAATAGAAATGTTCAGCACAGTTAGTTGAGTAGATACAGCATAAACATGTTTCTCAGATTACTTCTATCTCGCATTCATGGGAAGATATTTCCTTTTTCCAGATAGGCTACAAAGCCCTCCAAATGTCCACTTCCAGATACTACAAATAGAGTGCTGCACAACTGCTCTATGTGAGGGGAAGTTCAATTCTGTGACTTGAATGCAGACACCACAAAGAAGTTTCTGAGAATGCTGCTGTCTAATTTTTACATGTAAGCCCGTTTCCAACGAAATCCTCAAAGCTATCCAAATATCCGCATGCAGAATCTTCAAAAAGAGTGTTCCAGAAGTACTGCATGAAACGAAAGGTTCAAGTCCGTTTGTTGAGGACACACATCACAAATAAGTTTCTCAGAATGCTTCTGTCTTGTTTTCATTGGAAGATATTTCCTTTTTCACCATAGTTCAGAAAGCGCTCCAAATGTCCACTTCCAGATACTCCAAAAAGAGTGTTTCAAACCTGCTCTATGAATGGGAATGTTCCACTCTGTGACTTGAATGGAAATATGGCAAAGTATTTTCTGAGTATGCTGCTGTGTACGTTTTATATTGCATCCCGTTTCCAACGAAATCCTCAAAGCGATCCAAATATCCACTTGCAGATTCCAAAAAAAGAGTGTTTCAAACTGCTCTGTCAGTACAAAGGTTCAACACTGTTAGTTGATTAGATGCATCATAAACAAGTTCCTGAGATAGCTTCTATGTCGTTTTTATGGGAAGATATTTCCTTTTTCACCATAGGCCTGAAAGCGCTCCAAATGTCCACTTCCAGATACTACAATAAGAGTGTTTCCAACCTGCTCTATGAAACGGAAGGTTCAACTCTGTGACTTGATTGCAAACATCACGAAGGTGTTTCTGAGAATGCTTCTGTCTAGATTTTCTTTGAAGACATTCCCGTTTCCAACGAAATCCTCACAGCTATCCAAATATCCTCTTGCAGATTCTACAAAAAGTGTGGTTCAAAACTGCTTTATCAAAAGAATGGATCAACACTGTTAGTTGAGTACCCACATCACAAACGTGATTCTCAGAATGCTTCTGTCTAGTTTCTGTAGGTAGATATTTCCTATTTTAAGCATAGGCCTGAAAGCGCTCCAAATGCCCGCTTCCAGACACTATAAAAAGAGGGTTTCAAACCTACTCTATGAAAGGGAATGTTCAACTCTGAGAGCTGGATGCAAACATCACAAAGAAGTTTCTGAGAATGCTGCTGTCTACTTTTTATATATAATCCCGTTTCCAACGAAATCCTCAAATCTATCCAAATATCCACTTGCAGATTCCAAAAGAAGAGTGTCTCAAAACTGCTCTATCAATAGAAATGTTCAGCACAGTTAGTTGAGTAGATACAGCATAAACATGTTTCTGAGATTACTTCTATCTCGCATTCATGGGAAGATATTTCCTTTTTCCAGATAGGCTACAAAGCCCTCCAAATGTCCACTTCCAGATACTACAAAAAGAGTGTTTCCAACCTGCTCTATGAAACGGAAGGTTCAACTCTGTGACTTGATTGCAAACATCACGAAGGTGTTTCTGAGAATGCTTCTGTCTAGCATTTTCTTTGAAGACATTACCGTTTCCAACGAAATCCTCAAAGCTAGCCAAATATCCACCTGCAGATTCTACAAAAAGAGTGTTTCAAAAGTGCTCTGTCCAAACCAAGGTTCAATTCTGACAGTTGAGTGCACACATCACAAACGTGATTCTGCGAATGCTTCTGTCTAGTTTTTGTCGGAAGATATTTCCTTTTTCAGCATAGGCCCCAAGGAGCTCAAAATGTCCACTGCCAGATAGTACGAGAAGATTGTTTCAAACCTGCTCTGTGAAAGGGAATGTTCAACTCTGTGACTTGAATGTAAACATCCCTAAGATGTTTCTTAGAATGCTTCTGGCTAGATTTGATTTGAAGATATTCCCGTTTCCAACGAAATCCTCAAAGCTTTCCAAATATCCACTTCCAGATTCTATAAAAAGAATGTTTCAGAACAGTTCTGTCAAAAGAAAGGTTCAACTCTGTTAGTGGAGAACACACATCACAATCAAGGTTCTGAGAATGCTTCCGTCTAAATTTTCTATGAAGACATTCCCGTTTCCAACGAAATCCTCACAGCTATCCAAATATCCACTTGCAGATTCTACAAAAAGTGTGGTTCAAAACTGCTGTATCAAAAGAATGGATCAACACTGTTAGTTGAGTACCCACATCACAAACGTGATTCTCAGAATGCTTCTGTCTAGTTTCTATAGGTAGATATTTCCTTTTTCAGCATAGGCCTGAAAGCGCTCCAAATGCCCGCTTCCAGACACTATAAAAAGAGGGTTTCAAACCTACTCTATGAAAGGGAATGTTCAACTCTGAGAGCTGGATGCAAACATCACAAAGAAGTTTCTGAGAATGCTGCTGTCTACTTTTTATATATAATCCCGTTTCCAACGAAATCCTCAAATATATCCAAATATCCACTTGCAGATTCCAAAAGAAGAGTGTCTCAAAACTGCTCTATCAATAGAAATGTTCAGCACAGTTAGTTGAGTAGATACAGCATAAACATGTTTCTGAGATTACTTCTCTCTCGCATTCATGGGAAGATATTTCCTTTTTCCAGATAGGCTACAAAGCCCTCCAAATGTCCACTTCCAGATACTACAAAAAGAGTGTTTCCAACCTGCTCTATGAAACGGAAGGTTCAACTCTGTGACTTGATTGCAAACATCACGAAGGTGTTTCTGAGAATGCTTCTGTCTAGATTTTCTTTGAAGACATTACCGTTTCCAACGAAATCCTCAAAGCTAGCCAAATATCCACCTGCAGATTCTACAAAAAGAGTGTTTCAAAAGTGCTCTGTCCAAACCAAGGTTCAATTCTGACAGTTGAGTGCACACATCACAAACGTGATTCTGCGAATGCTTCTGTCTAGTTTTTGTCGGAAGATATTTCCTTTTTCAGCATAGGCCCCAAGGAGCTCAAAATGTCCACTGCCAGATAGTACGAGAAGATTGTTTCAAACCTGCTCTGTGAAAGGGAATGTTCAACTCTGTGACTTGAATGTAAACATCCCTAAGATGTTTCTTAGAATGCTTCTGGCTAGATTTTATTTGAAGATATTCCCGTTTCCAATGAAATCCTCAAAGCTTTCCAAATATCCACTTCCAGATTCTATAAAAAGAATGTTTCAGAACATTTCTGTCAAAAGAAAGGTTCAACTCTGTTAGTGGAGAACACACATCACAATCAAGGTTCTGAGAATGCTTCTGTCTAAATTTTCTATGAAGACATTCCCGTTTCCAACGAAATCCTCACAGCTATCCAAATATCCACTTGCAGATTCTACAAAAAGTGTGGTTCAAAACTGCTGTATCAAAAGAATGGATCAACACTGTTAGTTGAGTACCCACATCACAAACGTGATTCTCAGAATGCTTCTCTCTAGTTTCTATAGGTAGATATTTCCTTTTTCAGCATAGGCCTGAAAGCGCTCCAAATGCCCGCTTCCAGACACTATAAAAAGAGGGTTTCAAACCTACTCTATGAAAGGGAATGTTCAACTCTGAGAGCTGGATGCAAACATCACAAAGAAGTTTCTGAGAATGCTGCTGTCTACTTTTTATATATAATCCCGTTTCCAACGAAATCCTCAAATCTATCCAAATATCCACTTGCAGATTCCAAAAGAAGAGTGTCTCAAAACTGCTCTATCAATAGAAATGTTCAGCACAGTTAGTTGAGTAGATACAGCATAAACATGTTTCTGAGATTACTTCTATCTCGCATTCATGGGAAGATATTTCCTTTTTCCAGATAGGCTACAAAGCCCTCCAAATGTCCACTTCGAGATACTACAAATAGAGTGCTGCACAACTGCTCTATGTGAGGGGAAGTTCAATTCTGTGACTTGAATGCAGACACCACAAAGAAGTTTCTGAGAATGCTGCTGTCTAATTTTTACATGTAAGCCCGTTTCCAACGAAATCCTCAAAGCTATCCAAATATCCGCATGCAGAATCTTCAAAAAGAGTGTTCCAGAAGTACTGCATGAAACGAAAGGTTCAAGTCCGTTTGTTGAGGACACACATCACAAATAAGTTTCTCAGAATGCTTCTGTCTTGTTTTCATTGGAAGATATTTCCTTTTTCACCATAGTTCAGAAAGCGCTCCAAATGTCCACTTCCAGATACTCCAAAAAGAGTGTTTCAAACCTGCTCTATGAATGGGAATGTTCCACTCTGTGACTTGAATGGAAATATGGCAAAGTATTTTCTGAGTATGCTGCTGTGTACGTTTTATATTGCATCCCGTTTCCAACGAAATCCTCAAAGGGATCCAAATATCCACTTGCAGATTCCAAAAAAAGAGTGTTTCAAACTGCTCTGTCAGTACAAAGGTTCAACACTGTTAGTTGATTAGATGCATCATAAACAAGTTCCTGAGATAGCTTCTATATCGTTTTTATGGGAAGATATTTCCTTTTTCACCATAGGCCTGAAAGCGCTCCAAATGTCCACTTCCAGATACTACAATAAGAGTGTTTCCAACCTGCTCTATGAAACGGAAGGTTCAACTCTGTGACTTGATTGCAAACATCACGAAGGTATTTCTGAGAATGCTTCTGTCTAGATTTTCTTTGAAGACATTACCGTTTCCAACGAAATCCTCACAGCTATCCAAATATCCTCTTGCAGATTCTACAAAAAGTGTGGTTCAAAACTGCTGTATCAAAAGAATAGATCAACACTGTTAGTTGAGTACCCACATCACAAACGTGATTCTCAGAATGCTTCTGTCTAGTTTCTGTAGGTAGATATTTCCTATTTTAAGCATAGGCCTGAAAGCGCTCCAAATGCCCGCTTCCAGACACTATAAAAAGAGGGTTTCAAACCTACTCTATGAAAGGGAATGTTCAACTCTGAGAGCTGGATGCAAACATCACAAAGAAGTTTCTGAGAATGCTGCTGTCTACTTTTTATATATAATCCCGTTTCCAACGAAATCCTCAAATCTATCCAAATATCCACTTGCAGATTCCAAAAGAAGAGTGTCTCAAAACTGCTCTATCAATAGAAATGTTCAGCACAGTTAGTTGAGTAGATACAGCATAAACATGTTTCTCAGATTACTTCTATCTCGCATTCATGGGAAGATATTTCCTTTTTCCAGATAGGCTACAAAGCCCTCCAAATGTCCACTTCCAGATACTACAAATAGAGTGCTGCACAACTGCTCTATGTGAGGGGAAGTTCAACTCTGTGACTTGAATGCAGACACCACAAAGAAGTTTCTGAGAATGCTGCTGTCTAATTTTTACATGTAAGCCCGTTTCCAACGAAATCCTCAAAGCTATCCAAATATCCGCATGCAGAATCTTCAAAAAGTGTTCCAGAAGTACTGCATGAAACGAAAGTTTCAAGTCCGTTTGTTGAGGACACACATCACAAATAAGTTTCTCAGAATGCTTCTGTCTTGTTTTCATTGGAAGATATTTCCTTTTTCACCATAGTTCAGAAAGCGCTCCAAATGTCCACTTCCAGATACTCCAAAAAGAGTGTTTCAAACCTGCTCTATGAATGGGAATGTTCCACTCTGTGACTTGAATGGAAATATGGCAAAGTATTTTCTGAGTATGCTGCTGTGTACGTTTTATATTGCATCCCGTTTCCAACGAAATCCTCAAAGCGATCCAAATATCCACTTGCAGATTCCAAAAAAAGAGTGTTTCAAACTGCTCTGTCAGTACAAAGGTTCAACACTGTTAGTTGATTAGATGCATCATAAACAAGTTCCTGAGATAGCTTCTATGTCGTTTTTATGGGAAGATATTTCCTTTTTCACCATAGGCCTGAAAGCGCTCCAAATGTCCACTTCCAGATACTACAATAAGAGTGTTTCCAACCTGCTCTATGAAACGGAAGGTTCAACTCTGTGACTTGATTGCAAACATCACGAAGGTGTTTCTGAGAATGCTTCTGTCTAGATTTTCTTTGAAGACATTCCCGTTTCCAACGAAATCCTCACAGCTATCCAAATATCCTCTTGCAGATTCTACAAAAAGTGTGGTTCAAAACTGCTGTATCAAAAGAATGGATCAACACTGTTAGTTGAGTACCCACATCACAAACGTGATTCTCAGAATGCTTCTGTCTAGTTTCTGTAGGTAGATATTTCCTATTTTAAGCATAGGCCTGAAAGCGCTCCAAATGCCCGCTTCCAGACACTATAAAAAGAGGGTTTCAAACCTACTCTATGAAAGGGAATGTTCAACTCTGAGAGCTGGATGCAAACATCACAAAGAAGTTTCTGAGAATGCTGCTGTCTACTTTTTATATATAATCCCGTTTCCAACGAAATCCTCAAATCTATCCAAATATCCACTTGCAGATTCCAAAAGAAGAGTGTCTCAAAACTGCTCTATCAATAGAAATGTTCAGCACAGTTAGTTGAGTAGATACAGCATAAACATGTTTCTGAGATTACTTCTATCTCGCATTCATGGGAAGATATTTCCTTTTTCCAGATAGGCTACAAAGCCCTCCAAATGTCCACTTCCAGATACTACAAAAAGAGTGTTTCCAACCTGCTCTATGAAACGGAAGGTTCAACTCTGTGACTTGATTGCAAACATCACGAAGGTGTTTCTGAGAATGCTTCTGTCTAGATTTTCTTTGAAGACATTACCGTTTCCAACGAAATCCTCAAAGCTAGCCAAATATCCACCTGCAGATTCTACAAAAAGAGTGTTTCAAAAGTGCTCTGTCCAAACCAAGGTTCAATTCTGACAGTTGATGCACACATCACAAACGTGATTCTGCGAATGCTTCTGTCTAGTTTTTGTCGGAAGATATTTCCTTTTTCAGCATAGGCCCCAAGGAGCTCAAAATGTCCACTGCCAGATAGTACGAGAAGATTGTTTCAAACCTGCTCTGTGAAAGGGAATGTTCAACTCTGTGACTTGAATGTAAACATCCCTAAGATGTTTCTTAGAATGCTTCTGGCTAGATTTTATTTGAAGATATTCCCGTTTCCAACGAAATCCTCAAAGCTTTCCAAATATCCACTTCCAGATTCTACAAAAAGAATGTTTCAGAACAGTTCTGTCAAAAGAAAGGTTCAACTCTGTTAGTGGAGAACACACATCACAATCAAGGTTCTGAGAATGCTTCTGTCTAAATTTTCTATGAAGACATTCCCGTTTCCAACGAAATCCTCACAGCTATCCAAATATCCACTTGCAGATTCTACAAAAAGTGTGGTTCAAAACTGCTGTATCAAAAGAATGGATCAACACTGTTAGTTGAGTACCCACATCACAAACGTGATTCTCAGAATGCTTCTGTCTAGTTTCTATAGGTAGATATTTCCTTTTTCAGCATAGGCCTGAAAGCGCTCCAAATGCCCGCTTCCAGACACTATAAAAAGAGGGTTTCAAACCTACTCTATGAAAGGGAATGTCCAACTCTGAGAGCTGGATGCAAACATCACAAAGAAGTTTCTGAGAATGCTGCTGTCTACTTTTGATATATAATCCCGTTTCCAACGAAATCCTCAAATCTATCCAAATATCCACTTGCAGATTCCTAAAGAAGAGTGTCTCAAAACTGCTCTATCAATAGAAATGTTCAGCACAGGTAGTTGAGTAGATACAGCATAAACATGTTTCTGAGATTACTTCTATCTCGCATTCATGGGAAGATATTTCCTTTTTCCAGATAGGCTACAAAGCCCTCCAAATGTCCACTTCGAGATACTACAAATAGAGTGCTGCACAACTGCTCTATGTGAGGGGAAGTTCAATTCTGTGACTTGAATGCAGACACCACAAAGAAGTTTCTGAGAATGCTGCTGTCTAATTTTTACATGTAAGCCCGTTTCCAACGAAATCCTCAAAGCTATCCAAATATCCGCATGCAGAATCTTCAAAAAGAGTGTTCCAGAAGTACTGCATGAAACGAAAGGTTCAAGTCCGTTTGTTGAGGACACACATCACAAATAAGTTTCTCAGAATGCTTCTGTCTTGTTTTCATTGGAAGATATTTCCTTTTTCACCATAGTTCAGAAAGCGCTCCAAATGTCCACTTCCAGATACTCCAAAAAGAGTGTTTCCAACCTGCTCTATGAATGGGAATGTTCCACTCTGTGACTTGAATGGAAATATGGCAAAGTATTTTCTGAGTAAGCTGCTGTGTACGTTTTATATTGCATCCCGTTTCCAACGAAATCCTCAAAGCGATCCAAATATCCACTTGCAGATTCCAAAAAAAACAGTGTTTCACACTGCTCTGTCAGTACAAAGGTTCAACACTGTTAGTTGATTGGATGCATCATAAACAAGTTCCTGAGATAGCTTCTATGTCGTTTTTATGGTAAGATATTTCCTTCTTCACCATAGGCCTGAAAGCGCTCCAAATGTCCACTTCCAGATACTACAAAAAGAGTGTTTCCAACCTGCTCTACGAAACGGAAGGTTCAACTCTGTGACTTGATTGCAAACATCACGAAGGTGTTTCTGAGAATGTTTCTGTCTAGATTTTCTTTGAAGACATTACCGTTTCCAACGAAATCCTCAAAGCTAGTCAAATATCCACCTGCAGATTCTACAAAAAGAGTGTTTCAAAAGTGCTCTGTCCAAACAAAGGTTCAATTCTGACAGTTGAGTGCACACATCACAAACGTGATTCTGCGAATGCTTCTGTCTAGTTTTTGTCGGAAGATATTTCCTTTTTCAGCATAGGCCCCAAGGAGCACAAAATGTCCACTTCCAGATAGTACGAGAAGATTGTTTCAAACCTGCTCTGTGAAAGGGAATGTTCAACTCTGTGACTTGAATATAAACATCCCTAAGATGTTTCTTAGAATGCTTCTGGCTAGATTTGATTTGAAGATATTCCCGTTTCCAACGAAATCCTCAAAGCTTTCCAAATATCCACTTCCAGATTCTATAAAAAGAATGTTTCAGAACAGTTCTGTCAAAACAAAGGTTCAACTCTGTTAGTGGAGAACACACATCACAATCAAGGTTCTGAGAATGCTTCTGTCTAGATTTTCTTTAAAGACATTCCCGTTTCTCAACGAAATCCTCACAGCTATCCAAATATCCTCTTGCAGATTCTACAAAAAGTGTGGTTCAAAACTGCTGTATCAAAAGAATGGATCAACACTGTTAGTTGAGTACCCACATCACAAACGTGATTCTCAGAATGCTTCTGTCTAGTTTCTGTAGGTAGATATTTCCTATTTTAAGCATAGGCCTGAAAGCGCTCCAAATGCCCGCTTCCAGACACTATAAAAAGAGGGTTTCAAACCTACTCTATGAAAGGGAATGTTCAACTCTGAGAGCTGGATGCAAACATCACAAAGAAGTTTCTGAGAATGCTGCTGTCTACTTTTTATATATAATCCCGTTTCCAACGAAATCCTCAAATCTATCCAAATATCCACTTGCAGATTCCAAAAGAAGAGTGTCTCAAAACTGCTCTATCAATAGAAATGTTCAGCACAGTTAGTTGAGTAGATACAGCATAAACATGTTTCTGAGATTACTTCTATCTCGCATTCATGGGAAGATATTTCCTTTTTCCAGATAGGCTACAAAGCCCTCCAAATGTCCACTTCCAGATACTACAAATAGAGTGCTGCACAACTGCTCTATGTGAGGGGAAGTTCAATTCTGTGACTTGAATGCAGACACCACAAAGAAGTTTCTGAGAATGCTGCTGTCTAATTTTTACATGTAAGCCCGTTTCCAACGAAATCCTCAAAGCTATCCAAATATCCGCATGCAGAATCTTCAAAAAGAGTGTTCCAGAAGTACTGCATGAAACGAAAGGTTCAAGTCCGTTTGTTGAGGACACACATCACAAATAAGTTTCTCAGAATGCTTCTGTCTTGTTTTCATTGGAAGATATTTCCTTTTTCACCATAGTTCAAAAAGCGCTCCAAATGTCCACTTCCAGATACTCCAAAAAGAGTGTTTCCAACCTGCTCTATGAATGGGAATGTTCCACTCTGTGACTTGAATGGAAACATGGCAAAGTATTTTCTGAGTATGCTGCTGTGTACGTTTTATATTGCATCCCGTTTCCAACGAAATCCTCAAAGTGATCCAAATATCCACTTGCAGATTCCAAAAAAAGAGTGTTTCAAACTGCTCTGTCAGTACAAAGGTTCAACACTGTTAGTTGATTAGATGCATCATAAACAAGTTCCTGAGATAGCTTCTATGTCGTTTTTATGGGAAGATATTTCCTTTTTCACCATAGGCCTGAAAGCGCTCCAAATGTCCACTTCCAGATACTACAATAAGAGTGTTTCCAACCTGCTCTATGAAACGGAAGGTTCAACTCTGTGACTTGATTGCAAACATCACGAAGGTGTTTCTGAGAATGCTTCTGTCTAGATTTTCTTTGAAGACATTCCCGTTTCCAACGAAATCCTCACAGCTATCCAAATATCCTCTTGCAGATTCTACAAAAAGTGTGGTTCAAAACTGCTGTATCAAAAGAATGGATCAACACTGTTAGTTGAGTACCCACATCACAAACGTGATTCTCAGAATGCTTCTGTCTAGTTTCTGTAGGTAGATATTTCCTATTTTAAGCATAGGCCTGAAAGCGCTCCAAATGCCCGCTTGCAGACACTATAAAAAGAGGGTTTCAAACCTACTCTATGAAAGGGAATGTTCAACTCTGAGAGCTGGATGCAAACATCACAAAGAAGTTTCTGAGAATGCTGCTGTCTACTTTTGATATATAATCCCGTTTCCAACGAAATCCTCAAATCTATCCAAATATCCACTTGCAGATTCCAAAAGAAGAGTGTCTCAAAACTGCTCTATCAATAGAAATGTTCAGCACAGTTAGTTGAGTAGATACAGCATAAACATGTTTCTGAGATTACTTCTATCTCGCATTCATGGGAAGATATTTCCTTTTTCCAGATAGGCTACAAAGCCCTCCAAATGTCCACTTCGAGATACTACAAATAGAGTGCTGCACAACTGCTCTATGTGAGGGGAAGTTCAATTCTGTGACTTGAATGCAGACACCACAAAGAAGTTTCTGAGAATGCTGCTGTCTAATTTTTACATGTAAGCCCGTTTCCAACGAAATCCTCAAAGCTATCCAAATATCCGCATGCAGAATCTTCAAAAAGAGTGTTCCAGAAGTACTGCATGAAACGAAAGGTTCAAGTCCGTTTGTTGAGGACACACATCACAAATAAGTTTCTCAGAATGCTTCTGTCTTGTTTTCATTGGAAGATATTTCCTTTTTCACCATAGTTCAGAAAGCGCTCCAAATGTCCACTTCCAGATACTCCAAAAAGAGTGTTTCCAACCTGCTCTATGAATGGGAATGTTCCACTCTGTGACTTGAATGGAAATATGGCAAAGTATTTTCTGAGTATGCTGCTGTGTACGTTTTATATTGCATCCCGTTTCCAACGAAATCCTCAAAGCGATCCAAATATCCACTTGCAGATTCCAAAAAAAGAGTGTTTCAAACTGCTCTGTCAGTACAAAGGTTCAACACTGTTAGTTGATTAGATGCATCATAAACAAGTTCCTGAGATAGCTTCTATGTCGTTTTTATGGGAAGATATTTCCTTTTTCACCATAGGCCTGAAAGCACTCCAAATGTCCACTTCCAGATACTACAAAAAGAGTGTTTCCAACCTGCTCTATGAAACGGAAGGTTCAACTCTGTGACTTGATTGCAAACATCACGAAGGTGTTTCTGAGAATGCTTCTGTCTAGATTTTCTTTGAAGACATTACCGTTTCCAACGAAATCCTCAAAGCTAGCCAAATATCCACCTGCAGATTCTACAAAAAGAGTGTTTCAAAAGTGCTCTCTCCAAACCAAGGTTCAATTCTGACAGTTGAGTGCACACATCACAAACGTGATTCTGCGAATGCTTCTGTCTAGTTTTTGTCGGAAGATATTTCCTTTTTCAGCATAGGCCCCAAGGAGCTCAAAATGTCCACTGCCAGATAGTACGAGAAGATTGTTTCAAACCTGCTCTGTGAAAGGGAATGTTCAACTCTGTGACTTGAATGTAAACATCCCTAAGATGTTTCTTAGAATGCTTCTGGCTAGATTTTATTTGAAGATATTCCCGTTTCCAACGAAATCCTCAAAGCTTTCCAAATATCCACTTCCAGATTCTATAAAAAGAATGTTTCAGAACAGTTCTGTCAAAAGAAAGGTTCAACTCTGTTAGTGGAGAACACACATCACAATCAAGGTTCTGAGAATGCTTCTGTCTAAATTTTCTATGAAGACATTCCCGTTTCCAACGAAATCCTCACAGCTATCCAAATATCCACTTGCAGATTCTACAAAAAGTGTGGTTCAAAACTGCTGTATCAAAAGAATGGATCAACACTGTTAGTTGAGTACCCACATCACAAACGTGATTGCTCAGAATGCTTTCTGTCTAGTTTCTATAGGTAGATATTTCCTTTTTCAGCATAGGCCTGAAAGCGCTCCAAATGCCCGCTTCCAGACACTATAAAAAGAGGGTTTCAAACCCACTCCACGAAAGGGAATGTTCAACTCTGAGAGCTGGATGCAAACCTCACAAAGAAGTTTCTGAGAATGCTGCTGTCTACTTTTGATATATAATCCCGTTTCCAAGGAAATCCTCAAATCTATCGAAATATCCACTTGCAGATTCCAACAGGAGAGTGTCTCAAAACTGCTCTATCAATAGAAATGTTCAGCACAGTTAGTTGAGTAGATACAGCATAATCATGTTTCTGAGATTACTTCTATCTCGCATTCATGGGAAGATATTTCCTTTTTCCAGATAGGCTACAAAGCCCTCCAAATGTCCACTTCGAGATACTACAAATAGAGTGCTGCACAGCTGCTCTATGTGAGGGGATGTTCAATTCTGTGACTTGAATGCAGACACCACAAAGAAGTTTCTGAGAATGCTGCTGTCTAATTTTTATATGTAAGCCCGTTTCCAACGAAATCCTCAAAGCTATCCAAATATCCGCATGCAGAATCTTCAAAAAGAGTGTTCCAGAAGTACTGCATGAAACGAAAGGTTCAAGTCCGTTAGTTGAGGACACACATCACAAATAAGTTTCTCAGAATGCTTCTGTCTTGTTTTCATTGGAAGTATATTTCCTCTTTCACCATAGTTCAGAAAGCGCTCCAAATGTCCACTTCCAGATACTACAAAAGGAGTGTTTCCAACCTGCTCTATGAATGGGAATGTTCCACTCTGTGACTTGAATGGAAATATGGCAAAGTATTTTCTGAGTATGCTGCTGTGTACGTTTTATATTGCATCCCGTTTCCAACGAAATCCTCAAAGCGATCCAAATATCCACTTGCAGATTCCAAAAAAAGAGTGTTTCAAACTGCTCTGTCAGTACAAAGGTTCAACACTGTTAGTTGATTAGATGCATCATAAACAAGTTCCTGAGATAGCTTCTATGTCGTTTTTATGGGAAGATATTTCCTTTTTCACCATAGGCCTGAAAGCGCTCCAAATGTCCACTTCCAGATACTACAAAAAGAGTGTTTCCAACCTGCTCTATGAAACGGAAGGTTCAACTCTGTGACTTGATTGCAAACATCACGAAGGTGTTTCTGAGAATGCTTCTGTCTACATTTTCTTTGAAGACATTACCGTTTCCAACGAAATCCTCAAAGCTAGCCAAATATCCACCTGCAGATTCTACAAAAAGAGTGTTTCAAAAGTGCTCTGTCCAAACCAAGGTTCAATTCTGACAGTTGAGTGCACACATCACAAACGTGATTCTGCGAATGCTTCTGTCTAGTTTTTGTCGGAAGATATTTCCTTTTTCAGCATAGGCCCCAAGGAGCTCAAAATGTCCACTGCCAGATAGTACGAGAAGATTGTTTCAAACCTGCTCTGTGAAAGGGAATGTTCAACTCTGTGACTTGAATGTAAACATCCCTAAGATGTTTCTTAGAATGCTTCTGGCTAGATTTTATTTGAAGATATTCCCGTTTCCAACGAAATCCTCAAAGCTTTCCAAATATCCACTTCCAGATTCTATAAAAAGAATGTTTCAGAACAGTTCTGTCAAAAGAAAGGTTCAACTCTGTTAGTGGAGAACACACATCACAATCAAGGTTCTGAGAATGCTTCTGTCTAAATTTTCTATGAAGACATTCCCGTTTCCAACGAAATCCTCACAGCTATCCAAATATCCACTTGCAGATTCTACAAAAAGTGTGGTTCAAAACTGCTGTATCAAAAGAATGGATCAACACTGTTAGTTGAGTACCCACATCACAAACGTGATTCTCAGAATGCTTCTGTCTAGTTTCTATAGGTAGATATTTCCTTTTTCAGCACAGGCCTGAAAGCGCTCCAAATGCCCGCTTCCAGACACTATAAAAAGAGGGTTTCAAACCTACTCTATGAAAGGGAATGTTCAACTCTGAGAGCTGGATGCAAACATCACAAAGAAGTTTCTGAGAATGCTGCTGTCTACTTTTTATATATAATCCCGTTTCCAACGAAATCCTCAAATCTATCCAAATATCCACTTGCAGATTCCAAAAGAAGAGGGTCTCAAAACTGCTCTATCAATAGAAATGTTCAGCACAGTTAGTTGAGTAGATACAGCATAAACATGTTTCTGAGATTACTTCTATCTCGCATTCATGGGAAGATATTTCCTTTTTCCAGATAGGCTACAAAGCCCTCCAAATGTCCACTTCCAGATACTACAAATAGAGTGCTGCACAACTGCTCTATGTGAGGGGAAGTTCAATTCTGTGACTTGAATGCAGACACCACAAAGAAGTTTCTGAGAATGCTGCTGTCTACTTTTTATATGTAAGCCCGTTTCCAACGAAATCCTCAAAGCTATCCAAATATCCTCATGCAGAATCTTCAAAAAGACTGTTCCAGAAGTACTGCATGAAACGAAAGGTTCAAGTCCGTTAGTTGAGGACACACATCACAAATAAGTTTCTCAGAATGCTTCTGTCTTGTTTTCATTGGAAGATATTTCCTTTTTCACCATAGTTCAGAAAGCGCTCCAAATGTCCACTTCCAGATACTCCAAAAAGAGTGTTTCCAACCTGCTCTATGAATGGGAATGTTCCACTCTGTGACTTGAATGGAAATATGGCAAAGTATTTTCTGAGTATGCTGCTGTGTACGTTTTATATTGCATCCCGTTTCCAACGAAATCCTCAAAGCGATCCAAATATCCACTTGCAGATTCCAAAAAAAAAGTGTTTCAAACTGCTCTGTCAGTACAAAGGTTCAACACTGTTAGTTGATTAGATGCATCATAAACAAGTTCCTGAGATAGCTTCTATGTCGTTTTTATGGGAAGATATTTCCTTTTTCACCATAGGCCTGAAAGCGCTCCAAATGTCCACTTCCAGATACTACAAAAAGAGTGTTTCCAACCTGCTCTATGAAACGGAAGGTTCAACTCTGTGACTTGATTGCAAACATCACGAAGGTGTTTCTGAGAATGTTTCTGTCTAGATTTTCTTTGAAGACATTCCCGTTTCCAACGAAATCCTCACAGCTATCCAAATATCCTCTTGCAGATTCTACAAAAAGTGTGGTTCAAAACTGCTGTATCAAAAGAATGGATCAACACTGTTAGTTGAGTACCCACATCACAAACGTGATTCTCAGAATGCTTCTGTCTAGTTTCTGTAGGTAGATATTTCCTATTTTAAGCATAGGCCTGAAAGCGCTCCAAATGCCCGCTTCCAGACACTATAAAAAGAGGGTTTCAAACCTACTCTATGAAAGGGAATGTTCAACTCTGAGAGCTGGATGCAAACATCACAAAGAAGTTTCTGAGAATGCTGCTGTCTACTTTTTATATATAATCCCGTTTCCAACGAAATCCTCAAATCTATCCAAATATCCACTTGCAGATTCCAAAAGAAGAGTGTCTCAAAACTGCTCTATCAATAGAAATGTTCAGCACAGTTAGTTGAGAAGATACAGCATAAACATGTTTCTGAGATTACTTCTATCTCGCATTCATGGGAAGATATTTCCTTTTTCCAGATAGGCTACAAAGCCCTCCAAATGTCCACTTCCAGATACTACAAATAGAGTGCTGCACAACTGCTCTATGTGAGGGGAAGTTCAATTCTGTGACTTGAATGCAGACACCACAAAGAAGTTTCTGAGAATGCTGCTGTCTAATTTTTACATGTAAGCCCGTTTCCAACGAAATCCTCAAAGCTATCCAAATATCCGCATGCAGAATCTTCAAAAAGAGTGTTCCAGAAGTACTGCATGAAACGAAAGGTTCAAGTCCGTTTGTTGAGGACACACATCACAAATAAGTTTCTCAGAATGCTTCTGTCTTGTTTTCATTGGAAGATATTTCCTTTTTCACCATAGTTCAGAAAGCGCTCCAAATGTCCACTTCCAGATACTCCAAAAAGAGTGTTTCCAACCTGCTCTATGAATGGGAATGTTCCACTCTGTGACTTGAATGGAAATATGGCAAAGTATTTTCTGAGTATGCTGCTGTGTACGTTTTATATTGCATCCCGTTTCCAACGAAATCCTCAAAGCGATCCAAATATCCACTTGCAGATTCCAAAAAAAGAGTGTTTCAAACTGCTCTGTCAGTACAAAGGTTCAACACTGTTAGTTGATTAGATGCATCATAAACAAGTTCCTGAGATAGCTTCTATGTCGTTTTTATGGGAATATATTTCCTTTTTCACCATAGGCCTGAAAGCGCTCCAAATGTCCACTTCCAGATACTACAATAAGAGTGTTTCCAACCTGCTCTATGAAACGGAAGGTTCAACTCTGTGACTTGATTGCAAACATCACGAAGGTGTTTCTGAGAATGCTTCTGTCTAGATTTTCTTTGAAGACATCCCCGTTTCCAACGAAATCCTCACAGCTATCCAAATATCCTCTTGCAGATTCTACAAAAAGTGTGGTTCAAAACTGCTGTATCAAAAGAATGGATCAACACTGTTAGTTGAGTACCCACATCACAAACGTGATTCTCAGAATGCTTCTGTCTAGTTTCTGTAGGTAGATATTTCCTATTTTAAGCATAGGCCTGAAAGCGCTCCAAATGCCCGCTTCCAGACACTATAAAAAGAGGGTTTCAAACCTACTCTATGAAAGGGAATGTTCAACTCTGAGAGCTGGATGCAAACATCACAAAGAAGTTTCTGAGAATGCTGCTGTCTACTTTTTATATATAATCCCGTTTCCAACGAAATCCTCAAATCTATCCAAATATCCACTTGCACATTCCAAAAGAAGAGTGTCTCAAAACTGCTCTATCAATAGAAATGTTCAGCACAGTTAGTTGAGTAGATACAGCATAAACATGTTTCTGAGCTTACTTCTATCTCGCATTCATGGGAAGATATTTCCTTTTTCCAGATAGGCTACAAAGCCCTCCAAATGTCCACTTCCAGATACTACAAATAGAGTGCTGCACAACTGCTCTATGTGAGGGGAAGTTCAATTCTGTGACTTGAATGCAGACACCACAAAGAAGTTTCTGAGAATGCTGCTGTCTAATTTTTACATGTAAGGCCGTTTCCAACGAAATCCTCAAAGCTATCCAAATATCCGCATGCAGAATCTTCAAAAAGAGTGTTCCAGAAGTACTGCATGAAACGAAAGGTTCAAGTCCGTTTGTTGAGGACACACATCACAAATAAGTTTCTCAGAATGCTTCTGTCTTGTTTTCATTGGAAGATATTTCCTTTTTCACCATAGTTCAGAAAGCGCTCCAAATGTCCACTTCCAGATACTCCAAAAAGAGTGTTTCCAACCTGCTCTATGAATGGGAATGTTCCACTCTGTGACTTGAATGGAAACATGGCAAAGTATTTTCTGAGTATGCTGCTGTGTACGTTTGATATTCATCCCGTTTCCAACGAAATCCTCAAAGCGATCCAAATATCCACTTGCAGATTCCAAAAAAAGAGTGTTTCAAACTGCTCTGTCAGTACAAAGGTTCAACACTGTTAGTTGATTAGATGCATCATAAACAAGTTCCTGAGATAGCTTCTATGTCGCTTTTATGGGAAGATATTTCCTTTTACACCATAGGCCTGAAAGCGCTCCAAATGTCCACTTCCAGATACTACAAAATGAGTGTTTCCAACCTGCTCTATGAAACGGAAGGTTCAACTCTGTGACTTGATTGCAAACATCACGAAGGTGTTTCTGAGGATGTTTCTGTCTAGTATTTTCTTTGAAGACATTACCGTTTCCAACGAAATCCTCAAAGCTAGCCAAATATCCACCTGCAGATTCTACAAAAAGTGTGTTTCAAAAGTGCTCTCTCCAAACCAAGGTTCAATTCTGACAGTTGAGTGCACACATCACAAACGTGATTCTGCGAATGCTTCTGTCTAGTTTTTGTCGGAAGATATTTCCTTTTTCAGCATAGGCCCCAAGGAGCTCAAAATGTCCACTGCCAGATAGTACGAGAAGATTGTTTCAAACCTGCTCTGTGAAAGGGAATGTTCAACTCTGTGACTTGAATGTAAACATCCCTAAGATGTTTCTTAGAATGCTTCTGGCTAGATTTTATTTGAAGATATTCCCGTTTCCAACGAAATCCTCAAAGCTTTCCAAATATCCACTTCCAGATTCTATAAAAAGAATGTTTCAGAACAGTTCTGTCAAAAGAAAGGTTCAACTCTGTTAGTGGAGAACACACATCACAATCAAGGTTCTGAGAATGCTTCTGTCTAAATTTTCTATGAAGACATTCCCGTTTCCAACGAAATCCTCACAGCTATCCAAATATCCACTTGCAGATTCTACAAAAAGTGTGGTTCAAAACTGCTGTATCAAAAGAATGGATCAACACTGTTAGTTGAGTACCCACATCACAAACGTGATTCTCAGAATGCTTCTGTCTAGTTTCTATAGGTAGATATTTCCTTTTTCAGCATAGGCCTGAAAGCGCTCCAAATGCCCGCTTCCAGACACTATAAAAAGAGGGTTTCAAACCTACTCTATGAAAGGGAATGTTCAACTCTGAGAGCTGGATGCAAACATCACAAAGAAGTTTCTGAGAATGCTGCTGTCTACTTTTTATATATAATCCCGTTTCCAACGAAATCCTCAAATCTATCCAAATATCCACTTGCAGATTCCAAAAGAAGAGTGTCTCAAAACTGCTCTATCAATAGAAATGTTCAGCACAGTTAGTTGAGTAGATACAGCATAAACATGTTTCTGAGATTACATCTATCTCGCATTCATGGGAAGATATTTCCTTTTTCCAGATAGGCTACAAAGCCCTCCAAATGTCCACTTCCAGATACTACAAAAAGTGTGTTTCCAACCTGCTCTATGAAACGGAAGGTTCAACTCTGTGACTTGATTGCAAACATCACGAAGGTATTTCTGAGAATGCTTCTGTCTAGATTTTCTTTGAAGACATTACCGTTTCCAACGAAATCCTCAAAGCTAGCCAAATATCCACCTGCAGATTCTACAAAAAGTGTGTTTCAAAAGTGCTCTCTCCAAACCAAGGTTCAATTCTGACAGTTGAGTGCACACATCACAAACGTGATTCTGCGAATGCTTCTGACTAGTTTTTGTCGGAAGATATTTCCTTTTTCAGCATAGGCCCCAAAGAGCTCAAAATGTCCACTGCCAGATAGTACGAGAAGATTGTTTCAAACCTGCTCTGTGAAAGGGAATGTTCAACTCTGTGACTTGAATGTAAACATCCCTAAGATGTTTCTTAGAATGCTTCTGGCTAGATTTTATTTGAAGATATTCCCGTTTCCAACGAAATCCTCAAAGCTTTCCAAATATCCACTTCCAGATTCTATAAAAAGAATGTTTCAGAACAGTTCTGTCAAAAGAAAGGTTCAACTCTGTTAGTGGAGAACACACATCACAATCAAGGTTCTGAGAATGCTTCTGTCTAAATTTTCTATGAAGACATTCCCGTTTCCAACGAAATCCTCACAGCTATCCAAATATCCACTTGCAGATTCTACAAAAAGTGTGGTTCAAAACTGCTGTATCAAAAGAATGGATCAACACTGTTAGTTGAGTACCCACATCACAAACTTGATTCTCAGAATGCTTCTGTCTAGTTTCTATATGTAGATATTTCCTTTTTCAGCATAGGCCTGAAAGCGCTCCAAATGCCCGCTTCCAGACACTATAAAAAGAGGGTTTCAAACCTACTCTATGAAAGGGAATGTTCAACTCTGAGAGCTGGATGCAAACATCACAAAGAAGTTTCTGAGAATGCTGCTGTCTACTTTTTATATATAATCCCGTTTCCAACGAAATCCTCAAATCTATCCAAATATCCACTTGCAGATTCCAAAAGAAGAGGGTCTCAAAACTGCTCTATCAATAGAAATGTTCAGCACAGTTAGTTGAGTAGATACAGCATAAACATGTTTCTGAGATTACTTCTATCTCGCATTCATGGGAAGATATTTCCTTTTTCCAGATAGGCTACAAAGCCCTCCAAATGTCCACTTCCAGATACTACAAATAGAGTGCTGCACAACTGCTCTATGTGAGGGGAAGTTCAATTCTGTGACTTGAATGCAGACACCACAAAGAAGTTTCTGAGAATGCTGCTGTCTAATTTTTACATGTAAGCCCGTTTCCAACGAAATCCTCAAAGCTATCCAAATATCCGCATGCAGAATCTTCAAAAAGAGTGTTCCAGAAGTACTGCATGAAACGAAAGGTTCAAGTCCGTTTGTTGAGGACACACATCACAAATAAGTTTCTCAGAATGCTTCTGTCTTGTTTTCATTGGAAGATATTTCCTTTTTCACCATAGTTCAGAAAGCGCTCCAAATGTCCACTTCCAGATACTCCAAAAAGAGTGTTTCCAACCTGCTCTATGAATGGGAATGTTCCACTCTGTGACTTGAATGGAAATATGGCAAAGTATTTTCTGAGTATGCTGCTGTGTACGTTTTATATTGCATCCCGTTTCCAACGAAATCCTCAAAGCGATCCAAATATCCACTTGCAGATTCCAAAAAAAGAGTGTTTCAAAGTGCTCTGTCAGTACAAAGGTTCAACACTGTTAGTTGATTAGATGCATCATAAACAAGTTCCTGAGATAGCTTCTATGTCGTTTTTATGGGAAGATATTTCCTTTTTCACCATAGGCCTGAAAGCGCTCCAAATGTCCACTTCCAGATACTACAATAAGAGTGTTTCCAACCTGCTCTATGAAACGGAAGGTTCAACTCTGTGACTTGATTGCAAACATCACGAAGGTGTTTCTGAGAATGCTTCTGTCTAGATTTTCTTTGAAGACATTCCCGTTTCCAACGAAATCCTCAAAGCTAGCCAAATATCCACCTGCAGATTCTACAAAAAGAGTGTTTCAAGAGTGCTCTCTCCAAACCAAGGTTCAATTCTGACAGTTGAGTGCACACATCACAAACGTGATTCTGCGAATGCTTCTGTCTAGTTTTTGTCGGAAGATATTTCCTTTTTCAGCATAGGCCCCAAGGAGCTCAAAATGTCCACTGCCAGATAGTACGAGAAGATTGTTTCAAACCTGCTCTGTGAAAGGGAATGTTCAACTCTGTGACTTGAATGTAAACATCCCTAAGCTGTTTCTTAGAATGCTTCTGGCTAGATTTGATTTGAAGATATTCCCGTTTCCAACGAAATCCTCAAAGCTTTCCAAATATCCACTTCCAGATTCTATAAAAAGAATGTTTCAGAACAGTTCTGTCAAAAGAAAGGTTCAACTCTGTTAGTGGAGAACACACATCACAATCAAGGTTCTGAGAATGCTTCTGTCTAAATTTTCTATGAAGACATTCCCGTTTCCAACGAAATCCTCACAGCTATCCAAATATCCACTTGCAGATTCTACAAAAAGTGTGGTTCAAAACTGCTGTATCAAAAGAATGGATCAACACTGTTAGTTGAGTACCCACATCACAAACGTGATTCTCAGAATGCTTCTGTCTAGTTTCTATAGGTAGATATTTCCTTTTTCAGCATAGGCCTGAAAGCGCTCCAAATGCCCGCTTCCAGACACTATAAAAAGAGGGTTTCAAACCTACTCTATGAAAGGGAATGTTCAACTCTGAGAGCTGGATGCAAACATCACAAAGAAGTTTCTGAGAATGCTGCTGTCTACTTTTTATATATAATCCCGTTTCCAACGAAATCCTCAAATCTATCCAAATATCCACTTGCAGATTCCAAAAGAAGAGTGTCTCAAAACTGCTCTATCAATAGAAATGTTCAGCACAGTTAGTTGAGTAGATACAGCATAAACATGTTTCTGAGATTACTTCTATCTCGCATTCATGGGAAGATATTTCCTTTTTCCAGATAGGCTACAAAGCCCTCCAAATGTCCACTTCCAGATACTACAAATAGAGTGCTGCACAACTGCTCTATGTGAGGGGATGTTCAATTCTGTGACTTGAATGCAGACACCACAAAGAAGTTTCTGAGAATGCTGCTGTCTAATTTTTACATGTAAGCCCGTTTCCAACGAAATCCTCAAAGCTATCCAAATATCCGCATGCAGAATCTTCAAAAAGAGTGTTCCAGAAGTACTGCATGAAACGAAAGATTCAAGTCCGTTTGTTGAGGACACACATCACAAATAAGTTTCTCAGAATGCTTCTGTGTTGTTTTCATTGGAAGATATTTCCTTTTTCACCATAGTTCAGAAAGCGCTCCAAATGTCCACTTCCAGATACTCCAAAAAGAGTGTTTCAAACCTGCTCTATGAATGGGAATGTTCCACTCTGTGACTTGAATGGAAATATGGCAAAGTATTTTCTGAGTATGCTGCTGTGTACGTTTTATATTGCATCCCGTTTCCAACGAAATCCTCAAAGCGATCCAAATATCCACTTGCAGATTCCAAAAAAAGAGTGTTTCAAACTGCTCTGTCAGTACAAAGGTTCAACACTGTTAGTTGATTAGATGCATCATAAACAAGTTCCTGAGATAGCTTCTATGTCGTTTTTATGGGAAGATATTTCCTTTTTCACCATAGGCCTGAAAGCGCTCCAAATGTCCACTTCCAGATACTACAAAAAGAGTGTTTCCAACCTGCTCTATGAAACGGAAGGTTCAACTCTGTGACTTGATTGCAAACATCACGAAGGTGTTTCTGAGAATGCTTCTGTCTAGATTTTCTTTGAAGACATTACCGTTTCCAACGAAATCCTCACAGCTATCCAAATATCCACTTGCAGATTCTACAAAAAGTGTGGTTCAAAACTGCTGTATCAAAAGAATGGATCAACACTGTTAGTTGAGTACCCACATCACAAACGTGATTCTCAGAATGCTTCTGTCTAGTTTCTGTAGGTAGATATTTCCTATTTTAAGCATAGGCCTGAAAGCGCTCCAAATGCCCGCTTCCAGACACTATAAAAAGAGGGTTTCAAACCTACTCTATGAAAGGGAATGCTCAACTCTGAGAGCTGGATGCAAACATCACAAAGAAGTTTCTGAGAATGCTGCTGTCTACTTTTTATATATAATCCCGTTTCCAACGAAATCCTCAAATCTATCCAAATATCCACTTGCAGATTCCAAAAGAAGAGTGTCTCAAAACTGCTCTATCAATAGAAATGTTCAGCACAGTTAGTTGAGTAGATACAGCATAAACATGTTTCTGAGATTACTTCTATCTCGCATTCATGGGAAGATATTTCCTTTTTCCAGATAGGCTACAAAGCCCTCCAAATGTCCACTTCCAGATACTACAAAAAGAGTGTTTCCAACCTGCTCTATGAAACGGAAGGTTCAACTCTGTGACTTGATTGCAAACATCACGAAGTTGTTTCTGAGAATGCTTCTGTCTAGATTTTCTTTGAAGACATTACCGTTTCCAACGAAATCCTCAAAGCTAGCCAAATATCCACCTGCAGATTCTACAAAAACTGTGTTTCAAAAGTGCTCTCTCCAAACCAAGGTTCAATTCTGACAGTTGAGTGCACACATCACAAACGGGATTCTGCGAATGCTTCTGACTAGTTTTTGTCGGAAGATATTTCCTTTTTCAGCATAGGCCCCAAAGAGCTCAAAATGTCCACTGCCAGATAGTACGAGAAGATTGTTTCAAACCTGCTCTGTGAAAGGGAATGTTCAACTCTGTGACTTGAATGTAAACATCCCTAAGATGTTTCTTAGAATGCTTCTGGCTAGATTTTATTTGAAGATATTCCCGTTTCCAACGAAATCCTCAAAGCTTTCCAAATATCCACTTCCAGATTCTATAAAAAGAATGTTTCAGAACAGTTCTGTCAAAAGAAAGGTTCAACTCTGTTAGTGGAGAACACACATCACAATCAAGGTTCTGAGAATGCTTCTGTCTAAATTTTCTATGAAGACATTCCCGTTTCCAACGAAATCCTCACAGCTATCCAAATATCCACTTGCAGATTCTACAAAAAGTGTGGTTCAAAACTGCTGTATCAAAAGAATGGATCAACACTGTTAGTTGAGTACCCACATCACAAACGTGATTCTCAGAATGCTTCTGTCTAGTTTCTATAGGTAGATATCTCCTTTTTCAGCATAGGCCTGAAAGCGCTCCAAATGCCCGCTTCCAGACACTATAAAAAGAGGGTTTCAAACCTACTCTATGAAAGGGAATGTTCAACTCTGAGAGCTGGATGCAAACATCACAAAGAAGTTTCTGAGAATGCTGCTGTCTACTTTTTATATATAATCCCGTTTCCAACGAAATCCTCAAATCTATCCAAATATCCACTTGCAGATTCCAAAAGAAGAGGGTCTCAAAACTGCTCTATCAATAGAAATGTTCAGCACAGTTAGTTGAGTAGATACAGCATAAACATGTTTCTGAGATTACTTCTATCTCGCATTCATGGGAAGATATTTCCTTTTTCCAGATAGGCTACAAAGCCCTCCAAATGTCCACTTCCAGATACTACAAATAGAGTGCTGCACAACTGCTCTATGTGAGGGGAAGTTCAATTCTGTGACTTGAATGCAGACACCACAAAGAAGTTTCTGAGAATGCTGCTGTCTAATTTTTACATGTAAGCCCGTTTCCAACGAAATCCTCAAAGCTATCCAAATATCCGCATGCAGAATCTTCAAAAAGAGTGTTCCAGAAGTACTGCATGAAACGAAAGGTTCAAGTCCGTTTGTTGAGGACACACATCACAAATAAGTTTCTCAGAATGCTTCTGTCTTGTTTTCATTGGAAGATATTTCCTTTTTCACCATAGTTCAGAAAGCGCTCCAAATGTCCACTTCCAGATACTCCAAAAAGAGTGTTTCAAACCTGCTCTATGAATGGGAATGTTCCGCTCTGTGACTTGAATGGAAATATGGCAAAGTATTTTCTGAGTATGCTGCTGTGTACGTTTTATATTGCATCCCGTTTCCAACGAAATCCTCAAAGCGATCCAAATATCCACTTGCAGATTCCAAAAAAAGAGTGTTTCAAACTGCTCTGTCAGTACAAAGGTTCAACACTGTTAGTTGATTAGATGCATCATAAACAAGTTCCTGAGATAGCTTCTATGTCGTTTTTATGGGAAGATATTTCCTTTTTCACCATAGGCCTGAAAGCGCTCCAAATGTCCACTTCCAGATACTACAATAAGAGTGTTTCCAAACTGCTCTATGAAACGGAAGGTTCAACTCTGTGACTTGATTGCAAACATCACGAAGGTGTTTCTGAGAATGCTTCTGTCTAGATTTTCTTTGAAGACATTCCCGTTTCCAACGAAATCCTCACAGCTATCCAAATATCCTCTTGCAGATTCTACAAAAAGTGTGGTTCAAAACTGCTGTATCAAAAGAATGGATCAACACTGTTAGTTGAGTACCCACATCACAAACGTGATTCTCAGAATGCTTCTGTCTAGTTTCTGTAGGTAGATATTTCCTATTTTAAGCATAGGCCTGAAAGCGCTCCAAATGCCCGCTTGCAGACACTATAAAAAGAGGGTTTCAAACCTACTCTATGAAAGGGAATGTTCAACTCTGAGAGCTGGATGCAAACATCACAAAGAAGTTTCTGAGAATGCTGCTGTCTACTTTTTATATATAATCCCGTTTCCAACGAAATCCTCAAATCTCTCCAAATATCCACTTGCAGATTCCAAAAGAAGAGTGTCTCAAAACTGCTCTATCAATAGAAATGTTCAGCACAGTTAGTTGAGTAGATACAGCATAAGCATGTTTCTGAGATTACTTCTATCTCGCATTCATGGGAAGATATTTCCTTTTTCCAGATAGGCTACAAAGCCCTCCAAATGTCCACTTCCAGATACTACAAAAAGAGTGTTTCCAACCTGCTCTATGAAACGGAAGGTTCAACTCTGTGACTTGATTGCAAACATCACGAAGGTGTTTCTGAGAATGCTTCTGTCTAGATTTTCTTTGAAGACATTCCCGTTTCCAACGAAATCCTCAAAGCTAGCCAAATATCCACCTGCAGATTCTACAAAAAGAGTGTTTCAAAAGTGCTCTGTCCAAACCAAGGTTCAATTCTGACAGTTGAGTGCACACATCACAAACGTGATTCTGCGAATGCTTCTGTCTAGTTTTTGTCGGAAGATATTTCCTTTTTCAGCATAGGCCCCAAGGAGCTCAAAATGTCCACTGCCAGATAGTACGAGAAGATTGTTTCAAACCTGCTCTGTGAAAGGGAATGTTCAACTCTGTGACTTGAATGTAAACATCCCTAAGATGTTTCTTAGAATGCTTCTGGCTAGATTTGATTTGAAGATATTCCCGTTTCCAACGAAATCCTCAAAGCTTTCCAAATATCCACTTCCAGATTCTATAAAAAGAATGTTTCAGAACAGTTCTGTCAAAAGAAAGGTTCAACTCTGTTAGTGGAGAACACACATCACAATCAAGGTTCTGAGAATGCTTCTGTCTAAATTTTCTATGAAGACATTCCCGTTTCCAACGAAATCCTCACAGCTATCCAAATATCCACTTGCAGATTCTACAAAAAGTGTGGTTCAAAACTGCTGTATCAAAAGAATGGATCAACACTGTTAGTTGAGTACCCACATCACAAACGTGATTCTCAGAATGCTTCTGTCTAGTTTCTATAGGTAGATATTTCCTATTTTAAGCATAGGCCTGAAAGCGCTCCAAATGCCCGCTTCCAGACACTATAAAAAGAGGGTTTCAAACCTACTCTATGAAAGGGAATGTTCAACTCTGAGAGCTGGATGCAAACATCACAAAGAAGTTTCTGAGAATGCTGCTGTCTACTTTTTATATATAATCCCGTTTCCAACGAAATCCTCAAATCTATCCAAATATCCACTTGCAGATTCCAAAAGAAGAGTGTCTCAAAACTGCTCTATCAATAGAAATGTTCAGCACAGTTAGTTGAGTAGATACAGCATAAACATGTTTCTGAGATTACTTCTATCTCGCATTCATGGGAAGATATTTCCTTTTTCCAGATAGGCTACAAAGCCCTCCAAATGTCCACTTCCAGATACTACAAATAGAGTGCTGCACAACTGCTCTATGTGAGGGGAAGTTCAATTCTGTGACTTGAATGCAGACACCACAAAGAAGTTTCTGAGAATGCTGCTGTCTAATTTTTACATGTAAGCCCGTTTCCAACGAAATCCTCAAAGCTATCCAAATATCCGCATGCAGAATCTTCAAAAAGAGTGTTCCAGAAGTACTGCATGAAACGAAAGGTTCAAGTCCGTTTGTTGAGGACACACATCACAAATAAGTTTCTCAGAATGCTTCTGTCTTGTTTTCATTGGAAGATATTTCCTTTTTCACCATAGTTCAGAAAGCGCTCCAAATGTCCACTTCCAGATACTCCAAAAAGAGTGTTTCAAACCTGCTCTATGAATGTGAATGTTCCACTCTGTGACTTGAATGGAAATATGGCAAAGTATTTTCTGAGTATGCTGCTGTTTACGTTTTATATTGCATCCCGTTTCCAACAAAATCCTCAAAGCGATCCAAATATCCACTTGCAGATTCCAAAAAAAGAGTGTTTCAAACTGCTCTGTCAGTACAAAGGTTCAACACTGTTAGTTGATTAGATGCATCATAAACAAGTTCCTGAGACAGCTTCTATGTCGTTTTTATGGGAAGATATTTCCTTTTTCACCATAGGCCTGAAAGCGCTCCAAATGTCCACTTCCAGATACTACAATAAGAGTGTTTCCAACCTGCTCTATGAAACGGAAGGTTCAACTCTGTGACTTGATTGCAAACATCACGAAGGTGTTCCTCAGAATGATTCTGTCTAGATTTTCTTTGAAGACATTCCCGTTTCCAACGAAATCCTCACAGCTATCCAAATATCCTCTTGCAGATTCTACAAAAAGTGTGGTTCAAAACTGCTGTATCAAAAGAATGGATCAACACTGTTAGTTGAGTACCCACATCACAAACGAGATTCTCAGAATGCTTCTGTCTAGTTTCTGTAGGTAGATATTTCCTATTTTAAGCATAGGCCTGAAAGCGCTCCAAATGCCCGCTTCCAGACACTATAAAAAGAGGGTTTCAAACCTACTCTATGAAAGGGAATGTTCAACTCTGAGAGCTGGATGCAAACATCACAAAGAAGTTTCTGAGAATGCTGCTGTCTACTTTTTATATATAATCCCGTTTCCAACGAAATCCTCAAATCTCTCCAAATATCCACTTGCAGATTCCAAAAGAAGAGTGTCTCAAAACTGCTCTATCAATAGAAATGTTCAGCACAGTTAGTTGAGTAGATACAGCATAAACATGTTTCTGAGATTACTTCTATCTCGCATTCATGGGAAGATATTTCCTTTTTCCACATAGGCTACAAAGCCCTCCAAATGTCCACTTCCAGATACTACAAAAAGAGTGTTTCCAACCTGCTCTATGAAACGGAAGGTTCAACTCTGTGACTTGATTGCAAACATCACGAAGGTGTTTCTGAGAATGCTTCTGTCTAGATTTTCTTTGAAGACATTACCGTTTCCAACGAAATCCTCAAAGCTAGCCAAATATCCACCTGCAGATTCTACAAAAAGAGTGTTTCAAAAGTGCTCTGTCCAAACCAAGGTTCAATTCTGACAGTTGAGTGCACACATCACAAACGTGATTCTGCGAATGCTTCTGTCTAGTTTTTGTCGGAAGATATTTCCTTTTTCAGCATAGGCCCCAAGGAGCTCAAAATGTCCACTGCCAGATAGTACGAGAAGATTGTTTCAAACCTGCTCTGTGAAAGGGAATGTTCAACTCTGTGACTTGAATGTAAACATCCCTAAGATGTTTCTTAGAATGCTTCTGGCTAGATTTGATTTGAAGATATTCCCGTTTCCAACGAAATCCTCAAAGCTTTCCAAATATCCACTTCCAGATTCTATAAAAAGAATGTTTCAGAACAGTTCTGTCAAAAGAAAGGTTCAACTCTGTTAGTGGAGAACACACATCACAATCAAGGTTCTGAGAATGCTTCTGTCTAAATTTTCTATGAAGACATTCCCGTTTCCAACGAAATCCTCACAGCTATCCAAATATCCACTTGCAGATTCTACAAAAAGTGTGGTTCAAAACTGCTGTATCAAAAGAATGGATCAACACTGTTAGTTGAGTACCCACATCACAAACGTGATTCTCAGAATGCTTCTGTCTAGTTTCTATAGGTAGATATTTCCTTTTTCAGCATAGGCCTGAAAGCGCTCCAAATGCCCGCTTCCAGACACTATAAAAAGAGGGTTTCAAACCTACTCTATGAAAGGGAATGTTCAACTCTGAGAGCTGGATGCAAACATCACAAAGAAGTTTCTGAGAATGCTGCTGTCTACTTTTTATATATAATCCCGTTTCCAACGAAATCCTCAAATCTATCCAAATATCCACTTGCAGATTCCAAAAGAAGAGTGTCTCAAAACTGCTCTATCAATAGAAATGTTCAGCACAGTTAGTTGAGTAGATACAGCATAAACATGTTTCTGAGATTACTTCTATCTCGCATTCATGGGAAGATATTTCCTTTTTCCAGATAGGCTACAAAGCCCTCCAAATGTCCACTTCCAGATACTACAAATAGAGTGCTGCACAACTGCTCTATGTGAGGGGATGTTCAATTCTGTGACTTGAATGCAGACACCACAAAGAAGTTTCTGAGAATGCTGCTGTCTAATTTTTACATGTAAGCCCGTTTCCAACGAAATCCTCAAAGCTATCCAAATATCCGCATGCAGAATCTTCAAAAAGAGTGTTCCAGAAGTACTGCATGAAACGAAAGGTTCAAGTCCGTTTGTTGAGGACACACATCACAAATAAGTTTCTCAGAATGCTTCTGTCTTGTTTTCATTGGAAGATATTTCCTTTTTCACCATAGTTCAGAAAGCGCTCCAAAGGTCCACTTCCAGATACTACAAAAGGAGTGTTTCCAACCTGCTTTATGAATGGGAATGTTCCACTCTGTGACTTGAATGGAAATATGGCAAAGTATTTTCTGAGTATGCTGCTGTGTACGTTTTATATTGCATCCCGTTTCCAACGAAATCCTCAAAGCGATCCAAATATACACTTGCAGATTCCAAAAAAAAGAGTGTTTCACACTGCTCTGTCAGTACAAAGGTTCAACACTGTTAGTTGATTGGATGCATCATAAACAAGTTCCTGAGATAGCTTCTATGTCGTTTTTATGGGAAGATATTTCCTTTTTCACCGTAGGCCTGAAAGCGCTCCAAATGTCCACTTCCAGATACTACAAAAAGAGTGTTTCCAACCTGCTCTATGAAACGGAAGGTTCAACTCTGTGACTTGATTGCAAACAACACGAAAGTGTTTCTGAGAATGATTCTGTCTAGATTTTCTTTGAAGACATTATCGTTTCCAACGAAATCCTCAAAGCTAGCCAAATATCCACCTGCAGATTCTACAAAAAGAGTGTTTCAAAAGTGCTCTGTCCAAACCAAGGTTCAATTCTGACAGTTGAGTGCACACATCACAAACGTGATTCTGCGAATGCTTCTGTCTAGTTTTTGTCGGAAGATATTTCCTTTCTCAGCATAGGCCCCAAGGAGCTCAAAATGTCCACTTCCAGATAGTACGAGAAGATTGTTTCAAACCTGCTCTGTGAAAGGGAATGTTCAACTCTGTGACTTGAATGTAAACATCCCTAAGATGTTTCTTAGAATGCTTCTGGCTAGATTTTATTTGAAGATATTCCCGTTTCCAACGAAATCCTCAAAGCTTTCCAAATATCCACTTCCAGATTCTATAAAAAGTATGTTTCAAAACAGTTCTGTCAAAAGAAAGGTTCAACCCTGTTATTGGACAACACACATCACAATCAAGGTTCTGAGAATGCTTCTGTCTAAATTTTCTATGAAGACATTCCCGTTTCCAAGGAAATCCTCACAGCTATCCAAATATCCACTTGCAGATTCTACAAAAAGTGTGGTTCAAAACTGCTGTATCAAAAGAATGGATCAACACTGTTAGTTGAGTACCCACATCACCAACGTGATTCTCAGAATGCTTCTGTCTAGTTTCTATAGGTAGATATTTCCTTTTTCAGCATAGGCCTGAAAGCGCTCCAAATGCCCGCTTCCAGACACTATAAAAAGAGGGTTTCAAACCTACTCTACGAAAGGGAATGTTCAACTCTGAGAGCTGGATGCAAACATCACAAAGAAGTTTCTGAGAATGCTGCTGTCTACTTTTGATATATAATCCCGTTTCCAAGGAAATCCTCAAATCTATCCAAATATCCACTTGCAGATTCCAAAAGAAGAGTGTCTCAAAACTGCTCTATCAATAGAAATGTTCAGCACAGTTAGTTGAGTAGATACAGCATAAACATGTTTCTGAGATTACTTCTATCTCGCATTCATGGGAAGATATTTCCTTTTTCCAGATAGGCTACAAAGCCCTCCAAATGTCCACTTCGAGATACTACAAATAGAGTGCTGCACAGCTGCTCTATGTGAGGGGATGTTCAATTCTGTGACTTGAATGCAGACACCACAAAGAAGTTTCTGAGAATGCTGCTGTCTAATTTTTATATGTAAGCCCGTTTCCAACGAAATCCTCAAAGCTATCCAAATATCCGCATGCAGAATATTCAAAAAGAGTGTTCCAGAAGTACTGCATGAAACGAAAGGTTCAAGTCCGTTAGTTGAGGACATACATCACAAATAAGTTTCTCAGAATGATTCTGTCTTGTTTTCATTGGAAGATATTTCCTTTTTCACCATAGTTCAGAAAGCGCTCCAAATGTCCACTTCCAGATACTACAAAAAGAGTGTTTCCAACCTGCTCTATGAATGAGAATGTTCCACTCTGTGACTTGAATGGAAATATGGCAAAGTATTTTCTGAGTATGCTGCTGTGTACGTTTTATATTGCATCCCGTTTCCAACGAAATCCTCAAAGCGATCCAAATATCCACTTGCAGATTCCAAAAAAAAGAGTGTTTCACACTGCTCTGTCAGTACAAAGGTTCAACACTGTTAGTTGATTGGATGCATCATAAACAAGTTCCTGAGATAGCTTCTATGTCGTTTTTATGGGAAGATATTTCCTTTTTCACCATAGGCCTGAAAGCGCTCCAAATGTCCACTTCCAGATACTACAAAAAGAGTGTTTCCAACCTGCTCTATGAAACGGAAGGTTCAACTCTGTGACTTGATTGCAAACATCACGAAGGTGTTTCTGAGAATGTTTCTGTCTAGATTTTCTTTGAAGACATTACCGTTTCCAACGAAATCCTCAAAGCTAGCCAAATATCCACCTGCAGATTCTACAAAAAGAGTGTTTCAAAAGTGCTCTGTCCAAACAAAGGTTCAATTCTGACAGTTGAGTGCACACATCACAAACGTGATTCTGCGAATGCTTCTGTCTAGTTTTTGTCGAAAGATATTTCCTTTTTCAGCATAGGCCCCAAGGAGCTCAAAATGTCCACTGCCAGATAGTACGAGAAGATTGTTTCAAACCTGCTCTGAGAAAGGGGAATGTTCAACTCTGTGACTTGAATGTACACATCCCTAAGATGTTTCTTAGAATGCTTCTGGCTAGATTTGATTTGAAGATATTCCCGTTTCCAATGAAATCCTCAAAGCTTTCCAAATATCCACTTCCAGATTCTATAAAAAGAATGTTTCAAAACAGTTCTGTCAAAAGAAAGGTTCAACCCTGTTAGTGGAGAACACACATCACAATCAAGGTTCTGAGAATGCTTCTGTCTAAATTTTCTATGAAGACATTCCCGTTTCCAAGGAAATCCTCACAGCTATCCAAATATCCACTTGCAGATTCTACAAAAAGTGTGGTTCAAAACTGCTGTATCAAAAAAATGGATCAACACTGTTAGTTGAGTACCCACATCACAAACGTGATTCTCAGAATGCTTCTGTCTAGTTTCTATAGGTAGATATTTCCTTTTTCAGCATAGGCCTCAAAGCGTTCCAAATGCCCGCTTCCAGACACTATAAAAAGAGGGTTTCAAACCTACTCTACGAAAGGGAATGTTCAACTCTGAGAGCTGGATGCAAACATCACAAAGAAGTTTCTGAGAATGCTGCTGTCTACTTTTGATATATAATCCCGTTTCCAAGGAAATCCTCAAATCTATCCAAATATCCACTTGCAGATTCCAAAAGAAGAGTGTCTCAAAACTGCTCTATCAATAGAATTGTTCAGCACAGTTAGTTGAGTAGATACAGCATAAACATGTTTCTGAGATTACTTCTATCTCGCATTCATGGGAAGATATTTCCTTTTTACACATAGGCTACAAAGCCCTCCAAATGTCCACTTCGAGATACTACAAATAGAGTGCTGCACAGCTGCTCTATGTGAGGGGATGTTCAATTCTGTGACTTGAATGCAGACACCACAAAGAAGTTTCTGAGAATGCTGCTGTCTAATTTTTATATGTAAGCCCGTTTCCAACGAAATCCTCAAAGCTATCCAAATATCCGCATGCAGAATCTTCAAAAAGAGTGTTCCAGAAGTACTGCATGAAACGAAAGGTTCAAGTCCGTTAGTTGAGGACACACATCACAAATAAGTTTCTCAGAATGCTTCTGTCTTGTTTTCATTGGAAGATATTTCCTTTTTCACCATAGTTCAGAAAGCGCTCCAAATGTCCACTTCCAGATACTACAAAAGGAGTGTTTCCAACCTGCTCTATGAATGGGAATGTTCCACTCTGTGACTTGAATGGAAATATGGCAAAGTATTTTCTGAGTATGCTGCTGTGTACGTTTTATATTGCATCCCGTTTCCAACGAAATCCTCAAAGCGATCCAAATATCCACTTGCAGATTCCAAAAAAAAGAGTGTTTCACACTGCTCTGTCAGTACAAAGGTTCAACACTGTTAGTTGATTGGATGCATCATAAACAAGTTCCTGAGATAGCTTCTATGTCGTTTTTATGGGAAGATATTTCCTTTTTCACCATAGGCCTGAAAGCGCTCCAAATGTCCACTTCGAGATACTACAAAAAGAGTGTTTCCAACCTGCTCTATGAAACGGAAGGTTCAACTCTGTGACTTGATTGTAAACATCACGAAGGTGTTTCTGAGAATGTTTCTGTCTCGATTTTCTTTGAAGACATTACCGTTTCCAACGAAATCCTCAAAGCTAGTCAAATATCCACCTGCAGATTCTGCAAAAAGAGTGTTTCAAAAGTGCTCTGTCCAAACCAAGGTTCAATTCTGACAGTTGAGTGCACACATCATAAACGTGATTCTGCGAATGCTTCTGTCTAGTTTTTGTCGGAAGATATTTCCTTTTTCAGCATAGGCCCCAAGGAGCTCAAAATGTCCACTGCCAGATAGTACGAGAAGATTGTTTCAAACCTGCTCTGTGAAAGGGAATGTTCAACTCTGTGACTTGAATGTAAACATCCCTAAGATGTTTCTTAGAATGCTTCTGGCTAGATTTTATTTGAAGATATTCCCGTTTCCAACGAAATCCTCAAAGCTTTCCAAATATCCACTTCCAGATTCTATAAAAAGAATGTTTCAGAACAGTTCTGTCAAAAGAAAGGTTCAACTCTGTTAGTGGAGAACACACATCACAATCAAGGTTCTGAGAATGCTTCTGTCTAAATTTTCTATGAAGACATTCCCGTTTCCAACGAAATCCTCACAGCTATCCAAATATCCACTTGCAGATTCTACAAAAAGTGTGGTTCAAAACTGCTGTATCAAAAGAATGGATCAACACTGTTAGTTGAGTACCCACATCACAAACGTGATTCTCAGAATGCTTCTGTCTAGTTTCTATATGTAGATATTTCCTTTTTCAGCATAGGCCTGAAAGCGCTCCAAATGCCCGCTTCCAGACACTATAAAAAGAGGGTTTCAAACCTACTCTATGAAAGGGAATGTTCAACTCTGAGAGCTGGATGCAAACATCACAAAGAAGTTTCTGAGAATGCTGCTGTCTACTTTTTATATATAATCCCGTTTCCAACGAAATCCTCAAATCTATCCAAATATCCACTTGCAGATTCCAAAAGAAGAGGGTCTCAAAACTGCTCTATCAATAGAAATGTTCAGCACAGTTAGTTGAGTAGATACAGCATAAACATGTTTCTGAGATTACTTCTATCTCGCATTCATGGGAAGATATTTCCTTTTTCCAGATAGGCTACAAAGCCCTCCAAATGTCCACTTCCAGATACTACAAATAGAGTGCTGCACAACTGCTCTATGTGAGGGGAAGTTCAATTCTGTGACTTGAATGCAGACACCACAAAGAAGTTTCTGAGAATGCTGCTGTCTAATTTTTACATGTAAGCCCGTTTCCAACGAAATCCTCAAAGCTATCCAAATATCCGCATGCAGAATCTTCAAAAAGAGTGTTCCAGAAGTACTGCATGAAACGAAAGGTTCAAGTCCGTTTGTTGAGGACACACATCACAAATAAGTTTCTCAGAATGCTTCTGTCTTGTTTTCATTGGAAGATATTTCCTTTTTCACCATAGTTCAGAAAGCGCTCCAAATGTCCACTTCCAGATACTCCAAAAAGAGTGTTTCAAACCTGCTCTATGAATGGGAATGTTCCACTCTGTGACTTGAATGGAAATATGGCAAAGTATTTTCTGAGTATGCTGCTGTGTACGTTTTATATTGCATCCCGTTTCCAACGAAATCCTCAAAGCGATCCAAATATCCACTTGCAGATTCCAAAAAAAGAGTGTTTCAAACTGCTCTGTCAGTACAAAGGTTCAACACTGTTAGTTGATTAGATGCATCATAAACAAGTTCCTGAGATAGCTTCTATGTCGTTTTTATGGGAAGATATTTCCTTTTTCACCATAGGCCTGAAAGCGCTCCAAATGTCCACTTCCAGATACTACAATAAGAGTGTTTCCAACCTGCTCTATGAAACGGAAGGTTCAACTCTGTGACTTGATTGCAAACATCACGAAGGTGTTTCTGAGAATGCTTCTGTCTAGATTTTCTTTGAAGACATTCCCGTTTCCAACGAAATCCTCACAGCTATCCAAATATCCTCTTGCAGATTCTACAAAAAGTGTGGTTCAAAACTGCTGTATCAAAAGAATGGATCAACACTGTTAGTTGAGTACCCACATCACAAACGTGATTCTCAGAATGCTTCTGTCTAGTTTCTGTAGGTAGATATTTCCTATTTTAAGCATAGGCCTGAAAGCGCTCCAAATGCCCGCTTCCAGACACTATAAAAAGAGGGTTTCAAACCTACTCTATGAAAGGGAATGTTCAACTCTGAGAGCTGGATGCAAACATCACAAAGAAGTTTCTGAGAATGCTGCTGTCTACTTTTTATATATAATCCCGTTTCCAACGAAATCCTCAAATCTATCCAAATATCCACTTGCAGATTCCAAAAGAAGAGTGTCTCAAAACTGCTCTATCAATAGAAATGTTCAGCACAGTTAGTTGAGTAGATACAGCATAAACATGTTTCTGAGATTACTTCTATCTCGCATTCATGGGAAGATATTTCCTTTTTCCACATAGGCTACAAAGCCCTCCAAATGTCCACTTCCAGATACTACAAATAGAGTGCTGCACAACTGCTCTATGTGAGGTGATGTTCAATTCTGTGACTTGAATGCAGACACCACAAAGAAGTTTCTGAGAATGCTGCTGTCTAATTTTTACATGTAAGCCCGTTTCCAACGAAATCCTCAAAGCTATCCAAATATCCGCATGCAGAATCTTCAAAAAGAGTGTTCCAGAAGTACTGCATGAAACGAAAGGTTCAAGTCCGTTTGTTGAGGACACACATCACAAATAAGTTTCTCAGAATGCTTCTGTCTTGTTTTCATTGGAAGATATTTCCTTTTTCACCATAGTTCAGAAAGCGCTCCAAATGTCCACTTCCAGATACTCCAAAAAGAGTGTTTCCAACCTGCTCTATGAATGGGAATGTTCCACTCTGTGACTTGAATGGAAATATGGCAAAGTATTTTCTGAGTATGCTGCTGTGTACGTTTTATATTGCATCCCGTTTCCAACGAAATCCTCAAAGCGATCCAAATATCCACTTGCAGATTCCAAAAAAAGAGTGTTTCAAACTCCTCTGTCAGTACAAAGGTTCAACACTGTTAGTTGATTAGATGCATCATAAACAAGTTCCTGAGATAGCTTCTATGTCGTTTTTATGGGAAGATATTTCCTTTTTCACCATAGGCCTGAAAGCGCTCCAAATGTCCACTTCCAGATACTACAATAAGAGTGTTTCCAACCTGCTCTATGAAACGGAAGGTTCAACTCTGTGACTTGATTGCAAACATCACGATGGTGTTTCTGAGAATGCTTCTGTCTAGATTTTCTTTGAAGACATTCCCGTTTCCAACGAAATCCTCACAGCTATCCAAATATCCTCTTGCAGATTCTACAAAAAGTGTGGTTCAAAACTGCTGTATCAAAAGAATGGATCAACACTGTTAGTTGAGTACCCACATCACAAACGTGATTCTCAGAATGCTTCTGTCTAGTTTCTGTAGGTAGATATTTCCTATTTTAAGCATAGGCCTGAAAGCGCTCCAAATGCCCGCTTCCAGACACTATAAAAAGAGGGTTTCAAACCTACTCTATGAAAGGGAATGTTCAACTCTGAGAGCTGGATGCAAACATCACAAAGAAGTTTCTGAGAATGCTGCTGTCTACTTTTGATATATAATCCCGTTTCCAACGAAATCCTCAAATCTATCCAAATATCCACTTGCGGATTCCAAAAGAAGAGTGTCTCAAAACTGCTCTATCAATAGAAATGTTCAGCACAGTTAGTTGAGTAGATACAGCATAAACATGTTTCTGAGATTACTTCTATCTCGCATTCATGGGAAGATATTTCCTTTTTCCACATAGGCTACAAAGCCCTCCAAATGTCCACTTCCAGATACTACAAAAAGAGTGTTTCCAACCTGCTCTATGAAACGGAAGGTTCAACTCTGTGACTTGATTGCAAACATCACGAAGGTGTTTCTGAGAATGCTTCTGTCTAGATTTTCTTTGAAGACATTACCGTTTCCAACGAAATCCTCAAAGCTAGCCAAATATCCACCTGCAGATTCTACAAAAAGAGTGTTTCAAAAGTGCTCTGTCCAAACCAAGGTTCAATTCTGACAGTTGAGTGCACACATCACAAACGTGATTCTGCGAATGCTTCTGTCTAGTTTTTGTCGGAAGATATTTCCTTTTTCAGCATAGGCCCCAAGGAGCTCAAAATGTCCACTGCCAGATAGTACGAGAAGATTGTTTCAAACCTGCTCTGTGAAAGGGAATGTTCAACTCTGTGACTTGAATGTAAACATCCCTAAGCTGTTTCTTAGAATGCTTCTGGCTAGATTTGATTTGAAGATATTCCCGTTTCCAACGAAATCCTCAAAGCTTTCCAAATATCCACTTCCAGATTCTATAAAAAGAATGTTTCAGAACAGTTCTGTCAAAAGAAAGGTTCAACTCTGTTAGTGGAGAACACACATCACAATCAAGGTTCTGAGAATGCTTCTGTCTAAATTTTCTATGAAGACATTCCCGTTTCCAACGAAATCCTCACAGCTATCCAAATATCCACTTGCAGATTCTACAAAAAGTGTGGTTCAAAACTGCTGTATCAAAAGAATGGATCAACACTGTTAGTTGAGTACCCACATCACAAACGTGATTCTCAGAATGCTTCTGTCTAGTTTCTGTAGGTAGATATTTCCTATTTTAAGCATAGGCCTGAAAGCGCTCCAAATGCCCGCTTCCAGACACTATAAAAAGAGGGTTTCAAACCTACTCTATGAAAGGGAATGTTCAACTCTGAGAGCTGGATGCAAACATCACAAAGAAGTTTCTGAGAATGCTGCTGTCTACTTTTTATATATAATCCCGTTTCCAACGAAATCCTCAAATCTATCCAAATATCCACTTGCAGATTCCAAAAGAAGAGTGTCTCAAAACTGCTCTATCAATAGAAATGTTCAGCACAGTTAGTTGATTAGATACAGCATAAACATGTTTCTGAGATTACTTCTATCTCGCATTCATGGGAAGATATTTCCTTTTTCCAGATAGGCTACAAAGCCCTCCAAATGTCCACTTCCAGATACTACAAATAGAGTGCTGCACAACTGCTCTATGTGAGGGGAAGTTCAATTCTGTGACTTGAATGCAGACACCACAAAGAAGTTTCTGAGAATGCTGCTGTCTAATTTTTACATGTAAGACCGTTTCCAACGAAATCCTCAAAGCTATCCAAATATCCGCATGCAGAATCTTCAAAAAGAGTGTTCCAGAAGTACTGCATGAAACGAAAGGTTCAAGTCCGTTTGTTGAGGACACACATCACAAATAAGTTTCTCAGAATGCTTCTGTCTTGTTTTCATTGGAAGATATTTCCTTTTTCACCATAGTTCAGAAAGCGCTCCAAATGTCCACTTCCAGATACTCCAAAAAGAGTGTTTCCAACCTGCTCTATGAATGGGAATGTTCCACTCTGTGACTTGAATGGAAATATGGCAAAGTATTTTCTGAGTATGCTGCTGTGTACGTTTTATATTGCATCCCGTTTCCAACGAAATCCTCAAAGCGATCCAAATATCCACTTGCAGATTCCAAAAAAAGAGTGTTTCAAACTGCTCTGTCAGTACAAAGGTTCAACACTGTTAGTTGATTAGATGCATCATAAACAAGTTCCTGAGATAGCTTCTATGTCGTTTTTATGGGAAGATATTTCCTTTTTCACCATAGGCCTGAAAGCGCTCCAAATGTCCACTTCCAGATACTACAATAAGAGTGTTTCCAACCTGCTCTATGAAACGGAAGGTTCAACTCTGTGACTTGATTGCAAACATCACGAAGGTGTTTCTGAGAATGCTTCTGTCTAGATTTTCTTTGAAGACATTCCCGTTTCCAACGAAATCCTCACAGCTATCCAAATATCCTCTTGCAGATTCTACAAAAAGTGTGGTTCAAAACTGCTGTATCAAAAGAATGGATCAACACTGTTAGTTGAGTACCCACATCACAAACGTGATTCTCAGAATGCTTCTGTCTAGTTTCTGTAGGTAGATATTTCCTATTTTAAGCATAGGCCTGAAAGCGCTCCAAATGCCCGCTTCCAGACACTATAAAAAGAGGGTTTCAAACCTACTCTATGAAAGGGAATGTTCAACTCTGAGAGCTGGATGCAAACATCACAAAGAAGTTTCTGAGAATGCTGCTGTCTACTTTTTATATATAATCCCGTTTCCAACGAAATCCTCAAATCTATCCAAATATCCACTTGCAGATTCCAAAAGAAGAGTGTCTCAAAACTGCTCTATCAATAGAAATGTTCAGCACAGTTAGTTGAGTAGATACAGCATAAACATGTTTCTGAGATTACTTCTATCTCGCATTCATGGGAAGATATTTCCTTTTTCCAGATAGGCTACAAAGCCCTCCAAATGTCCACTTCCAGATACTACAAAAAGAGTGTTTCCAACCTGCTCTATGAAACGGAAGGTTCAACTCTGTGACTTGATTGCAAACATCACGAAGGTGTTTCTGAGAATGCTTCTGTCTAGATTTTCTTTGAAGACATTACCGTTTCCAACGAAATCCTCAAAGCTAGCCAAATATCCACCTGCAGATTCTACAAAAAGAGTGTTTCAAAAGTGCTCTGTCCAAACCAAGGTTCAATTCTGACAGTTGAGTGCACACATCACAAACGTGATTCTGCGAATGCTTCTGTCTAGTTTTTGTCGGAAGATATTTCCTTTTTCAGCATAGGCCCCAAGGAGCTCAAAATGTCCACTGCCAGATAGTACGAGAAGATTGTTTCAAACCTGCTCTGTGAAAGGGAATGTTCAACTCTGTGACTTGAATGTAAACATCCCTAAGATGTTTCTTAGAATGCTTCTGGCTAGATTTGATTTGAAGATATTCCCGTTTCCAACGAAATCCTCAAAGCTTTCCAAATATCCACTTCCAGATTCTATAAAAAGAATGTTTCAGAACAGTTCTGTCAAAAGAAAGGTTCAACTCTGTTAGTGGAGAACACACATCACAATCAAGGTTCTGAGAATGCTTCTGTCTAAATTTTCTATGAAGACATTCCCGTTTCCAACGAAATCCTCACAGCTATCCAAATATCCACTTGCAGATTCTACAAAAAGTGTGGTTCAAAACTGCTGTATCAAAAGAATGGATCAACACTGTTAGTTGAGTACCCACATCACAAACGTGATTCTCAGAATGCTTCTGTCTAGTTTCCATAGGTAGATATTTCCTTTTTCAGCATAGGCCTGAAAGCGCTCCAAATGCCCGCTTCCAGACACTATAAAAAGAGGGTTTCAAACCTACTCTATGAAAGGGAATGTTCAACTCTGAGAGCTGGATGCAAACATCACAAAGAAGTTTCTGAGAATGCTGCTGTCTACTTTTGATATATAATCCCGTTTCCAACGAAATCCTCAAATCTATCCAAATATCCACTTGCAGATTCCAAAAGAAGAGTGTCTCAAAACTGCTCTATCAATAGAAATGTTCAGCACAGTTAGTTGAGTAGATACAGCATAAACATGTTTCTGAGATTACTTCTATCTCGCATTCATGGGAAGATATTTCCTTTTTCCAGATAGGCTACAAAGCCCTCCAAATGTCCACTTCCAGATACTACAAAAAGAGTGTTTCCAACCTGCTCTATGAAACGGAAGGTTCAACTCTGTGACTTGATTGCAAACATCACGAAGGTGTTTCTGAGAATGCTTCTGTCTAGATTTTCTTTGAAGACATTACCGTTTCCAACGAAATCCTCAAAGCTAGCCAAATATCCACCTGCAGATTCTACAAAAAGAGTGTTTCAAAAGTGCTCTGTCCAAACCAAGGTTCAATTCTGACAGTTGAGTGCACACATCACAAACGTGATTCTGCGAATGCTTCTGTCTAGTTTTTGTCGGAAGATATTTCCTTTTTCAGCATAGGCCCCAAGGAGCTCAAAATGTCCACTGCCAGATAGTACGAGAAGATTGTTTCAAACCTGCTCTGTGAAAGGGAATGTTCAACTCTGTGACTTGAATGTAAACATCCCTAAGATATTTCTTAGAATGCTTCTGGCTAGATTTGATTTGAAGATATTCCCGTTTCCAACGAAATCCTCAAAGCTTTCCAAATATCCACTTCCAGATTCTATAAAAAGAATGTTTCAGAACAGTTCTGTCAAAAGAAAGGTTCAACTCTGTTAGTGGAGAACACACATCACAATCAAGGTTCTGAGAATGCTTCTGTCTAAATTTTCTATGAAGACATTCCCGTTTCCAACGAAATCCTCACAGCTATCCAAATATCCACTTGCAGATTCTACAAAAAGTGTGGTTCAAAACTGCTGTATCAAAAGAATGGATCAACACTGTTAGTTGAGTACCCACATCACAAACGTGATTCTCAGAATGCTTCTGTCTAGTTTCTATAGGTAGATATTTCCTTTTTCAGCATAGGCCTGAAAGCGCTCTAAATGCCCGCTTCCAGACACTATAAAAAGAGGGTTTCAAACCTACTCTATGAAAGGGAATGTTCAACTCTGAGAGCTGGATGCAAACATCACAAAGAAGTTTCTGAGAATGCTGCTGTCTACTTTTGATATATAATCCCGTTTCCAACGAAATCCTCAAATCTATCCAAATATCCACTTGCAGATTCCAAAAGAAGAGTGTCTCAAAACTGCTCTATCAATAGAAATGTTCAGCACAGTTAGTTGAGTAGATACAGCATAAACATGTTTCTGAGATTACTTCTATCTCGCATTCATGGGAAGATATTTCCTTTTTCCAGATAGGCTACAAAGCCCTCCAAATGTCCACTTCCAGATACTACAAAAAGAGTGTTTCCAACCTGCTCTATGAAACGGAAGGTTCAACTCTGTGACTTGATTGCAAACATCACGAAGGTGTTTCTGAGAATGCTTCTGTCTAGATTTTCTTTGAAGACATTACCGTTTCCAACGAAATCCTCAAAGCTAGCCAAATATCCACCTGCAGATTCTACAAAAAGAGTGTTTCAAAAGTGCTCTGTCCAAACCAAGGTTCAATTCTGACAGTTGAGTGCACACATCACAAACGTGATTCTGCGAATGCTTCTGTCTAGTTTTTGTCGGAAGATATTTCCTTTTTCAGCATAGGCCCCAAGGAGCTCAAAATGTCCACTGCCAGATAGTACGAGAAGATTGTTTCAAACCTGCTCTGTGAAAGGGAATGTTCAACTCTGTGACTTGAATGTAAACATCCCTAAGATGTTTCTTAGAATGCTTCTGGCTAGATTTTATTTGAAGATATTCCCGTTTCCAACGAAATCCTCAAAGCTTTCCAAATATCCACTTCCAGATTCTATAAAAAGAATGTTTCAGAACAGTTCTGTCAAAAGAAAGGTTCAACTCTGTTAGTGGAGAACACACATCACAATCAAGGTTCTGAGAATGCTTCTGTCTAAATTTTCTATGAAGACATTCCCGTTTCCAACGAAATCCTCACAGCTATCCAAATATCCACTTGCAGATTCTACAAAAAGTGTGGTTCAAAACTGCTGTATCAAAAGAATGGATCAACACTGTTAGTTGAGTACCCACATCACAAACGTGATTCTCAGAATGCTTCTGTCTAGTTTCTATAGGTAGATATTTCCTTTTTCAGCATAGGCCTGAAAGCGCTCCAAATGCCCGCTTCCAGACACTATAAAAAGAGGGTTTCAAACCTACTCTATGAAAGGGAATGTTCAACTCTGAGAGCTGGATGCAAACATCACAAAGAAGTTTCTGAGAATGCTGCTGTCTACTTTTTATATATAATCCCGTTTCCAACGAAATCCTCAAATCTATCCAAATATCCACTTGCAGATTCCAAAAGAAGAGTGTCTCAAAACTGCTCTATCAATAGAAATGTTCAGCACAGTTAGTTGAGTAGATACAGCATAAACATGTTCTGAGATTACTTCTATCTCGCATTCATGGGAAGATATTTCCTTTTTCCACATAGGCTACAAAGCCCTCCAAATGTCCATTTCCAGATACTACAAATAGAGTGCTGCACAACTGCTCTATGTGAGGGGAAGTTCAATTCTGTGACTTGAATGCAGACACCACAAAGAAGTTTCTGAGAATGCTGCTGTCTAATTTTTACATGTAAGCCCGTTTCCAACGAAATCCTCAAAGCTATCCAAATATCCGCATGCAGAATCTTCAAAAAGAGTGTTCCAGAAGTACTGCATGAAACGAAAGGTTCAAGTCCGTTTGTTGAGGACACACATCACAAATAAGTTTCTCAGAATGCTTCTGTCTTGTTTTCATTGGAAGATATTTCCTTTTTCACCATAGTTCAGAAAGCGCTCCAAATGTCCACTTCCAGATACTCCAAAAAGAGTGTTTCCAACGTGCTCTATGAATGGGAATGTTCCACTCTGTGACTTGAATGGAAATATGGCAAAGAATTTTCTGAGTATGCTGCTGTGTACGTTTTATATTGCATCCCGTTTCCAACGAAATCCTCAAAGCGATCCAAATATCCACTTGCAGATTCCAAAAAAAGAGTGTTTCAAACTGCTCTGTCAGTACAAAGGTTCAACACTGTTAGTTGATTAGATGCCTCATAAACAAGTTCCTGAGATAGCTTCTATGTTGTTTTTATGGGAAGATATTTCCTTTTTCACCATAGGCCTGAAAGCGCTCCAAATGTCCACTTCCAGATACTACAATAAGAGTGTTTCCAACCTGCTCTATGAAACGGAAGGTTCAACTCTGTGACTTGATTGCAAACATCACGAAGGTGTTTCTGAGAATGTTTCTGTCTAGATTTTCTTTGAAGACATTCCCGTTTCCAACGAAATCCTCACAGCTATCCAAATATCCTCTTGCAGATTCTACAAAAAGTGTGGTTCAAAACTGCTGTATCAAAAGAATGGATCAACACTGTTAGTTGAGTACCCACATCACAAACGAGATTCTCAGAATGCTTCTGTCTAGTTTCTGTAGGTAGATATTTCCTATTTTAAGCATAGGTCTGAAAGCGCTCCAAATGCCCGCTTCCAGACACTATAAAAAGAGGGTTTCAAACCTACTCTATGAAAGGGAATGTTCAACTCTGAGAGCTGGATGCAAACATCACAAAGAAGTTTCTGAGAATGCTGCTGTCTACTTTTTATATATAATCCCGTTTCCAACGAAATCCTCAAATCTATCCAAATATCCACTTGCAGATTCCAAAAGAAGAGTGTCTCAAAACTGCTCTATCAATAGAAATGTTCAGCACAGTTAGTTGAGTAGATACAGCATAAACATGTTTCTGAGATTACTTCTATCTCGCATTCATGGGAAGATATTTCCTTTTTCCACATAGGCTACAAAGCCCTCCAAATGTCCACTTCCAGATACTACAAAAAGAGTGTTTCCAACCTGCTCTATGAAACGGAAGGTTCAACTCTGTGACTTGATTGCAAACATCACGAAGGTGTTTCTGAGAATGCTTCTGTCTAGATTTTCTTTGAAGACATTCCCGTTTCCAACGAAATCCTCAAAGCTAGCCAAATATCCACCTGCAGATTCTACAAAAAGAGTGTTTCAAAAGTGCTCTGTCCAAACCAAGGTTCAATTCTGACAGTTGAGTGCACACATCACAAACGTGATTCTGCGAATGCTTCTGTCTAGTTTTTGTCGGAAGATATTTCCTTTTTCAGCATAGGCCCCAAGGAGCTCAAAATGTCCACTGCCAGATAGTACGAGAAGATTGTTTCAAACCTGCTCTGTGAAAGGGAATGTTCAACTCTGTGACTTGAATGTAAACATCCCTAAGATGTTTCTTAGAATGCTTCTGGCTAGATTTTATTTGAAGATATTCCCGTTTCCAACGAAATCCTCAAAGCTTTCCAAATATCCACTTCCAGATTCTATAAAAAGAATGTTTCAGAACAGTTCTGTCAAAAGAAAGGTTCAACTCTGTTAGTGGAGAACACACATCACAATCAAGGTTCTGAGAATGCTTCTGTCTAAATTTTCTATGAAGACATTCCCGTTTCCAACGAAATCCTCACAGCTATCCAAATATCCACTTGCAGATTCTACAAAAAGTGTGGTTCAAAACTGCTGTATCAAAAGAATGGATCAACACTGTTAGTTGAGTACCCACATCACAAACGTGATTCTCAGAATGCTTCTGTCTAGTTTCTATAGGTAGATATTTCCTTTTTCAGCATAGGCCTGAAAGCGCTCCAAATGCCCGCTTCCAGACACTATAAAAAGAGGGTTTCAAACCTACTCTATGAAAGGGAATGTTCAACTCTGAGAGCTGGATGCAAACATCACAAAGAAGTTTCTGAGAATGCTGCTGTCTACTTTTGATATATAATCCCGTTTCCAACGAAATCCTCAAATCTATCCAAATATCCACTTGCAGATTCCAAAAGAAGAGTGTCTCAAAACTGCTCTATCAATAGAAATGTTCAGCACAGTTAGTTGAGTAGATACAGCATAAACATGTTTCTGAGATTACTTCTATCTCGCATTCATGGGAAGATATTTCCTTTTTCCAGATAGGCTACAAAGCCCTCCAAATGTCCACTTCCAGATACTACAAAAAGAGTGTTTCCAACCTGCTCTATGAAACGGAAGGTTCAACTCTGTGACTTGATTGCAAACATCACGAAGGTGTTTCTGAGAATGCTTCTGTCTAGATTTTCTTTGAAGACATTACCGTTTCCAACGAAATCCTCAAAGCTAGCCAAATATCCACCTGCAGATTCTACAAAAAGAGTGTTTCAAAAGTGCTCTGTCCAAACCAAGGTTCAATTCTGAGAGTTGAGTGCACACATCACAAACGTGATTCTGCGAATGCTTCTGTCTAGTTTTTGTCGGAAGATATTTCCTTTTTCAGCATAGGCCCCAAGGAGCTCAAAATGTCCACTGCCAGATAGTACGAGAAGATTGTTTCAAACCTGCTCTGTGAAAGGGAATGTTCAACTCTGTGACTTGAATGTAAACATCCCTAAGATGTTTCTTAGAATGCTTCTGGCTAGATTTGATTTGAAGATATTCCCGTTTCCAACGAAATCCTCAAAGCTTTCCAAATATCCACTTCCAGATTCTATAAAAAGAATGTTTCAGAACAGTTCTGTCAAAAGAAAGGTTCAACTCTGTTAGTGGAGAACACACATCACAATCAAGGTTCTGAGAATGCTTCCGTCTAAATTTTCTATGAAGACATTCCCGTTTCCAACGAAATCCTCACAGCTATCCAAATATCCACTTGCAGATTCTACAAAAAGTGTGGTTCAAAACTGCTGTATCAAAAGAATGGATCAACACTGTTAGTTGAGTACCCACATCACAAACGTGATTCTCAGAATGCTTCTGTCTAGTTTCTATAGGTAGATATTTCCTTTTTCAGCATAGGCCTGAAAGCGCTCCAAATGCCCGCTTCCAGACACTATAAAAAGAGGGTTTCAAACCTACTCTATGAAAGGGAATGTTCAACTCTGAGAGCTGGATGCAAACATCACAAAGAAGTTTCTGAGAATGCTGCTGTCTACTTTTGATATATAATCCCGTTTCCAACGAAATCCTCAAATCTATCCAAATATCCACTTGCAGATTCCAAAAGAAGAGTGTCTCAAAACTGCTCTATCAATAGAAATGTTCAGCACAGTTAGTTGAGTAGATACAGCATAAACATCTTTCTGAGATTACTTCTATCTCGCATTCATGGGAAGATATTTCCTTTTTCCAGATAGGCTACAAAGCCCTCCAAATGTCCACTTCCAGATACTACAAAAAGAGTGTTTCCAACCTGCTCTATGAAACGGAAGGTTCAACTCTGTGACTTGATTGCAAACATCACGAAGGTGTTTCTGAGAATGCTTCTGTCTAGATTTTCTTTGAAGACATTACCGTTTCCAACGAAATCCTCAAAGCTAGCCAAATATCCACCTGCAGATTCTACAAAAAGAGTGTTTCAAAAGTGCTCTGTCCAAACCAAGGTTCAATTCTGACAGTTGAGTGCACACATCACAAACGTGATTCTGCGAATGCTTCTGTCTAGTTTTTGTCGGAAGATATTTCCTTTTTCAGCATAGGCCCCAAGGAGCTCAAAATGTCCACTGCCAGATAGTACGAGAAGATTGTTTCAAACCTGCTCTGTGAAAGGGAATGTTCAACTCTGTGACTTGAATGTAAACATCCCTAAGATGTTTCTTATAATGCTTCTGGCTAGATTTGATTTGAAGATATTCCCGTTTCCAACGAAATCCTCAAAGCTTTCCAAATATCCACTTCCAGATTCTATAAAAAGAATGTTTCAGAACAGTTCTGTCAAAAGAAAGTTTCAACTCTGTTAGTGGAGAACACACATCACAATCAAGGTTCTGAGAATGCTTCTGTCTAAATTTTCTATGAAGACATTCCCGTTTCCAACGAAATCCTCACAGCTATCCAAATATCCACTTGCAGATTCTACAAAAAGTGTGGTTCAAAACTGCTGTATCAAAAGAATGGATCAACACTGTTAGTTGAGTACCCACATCACAAACGTGATTCTCAGAATGCTTCTGTCTAGTTTCTATAGGTAGATATTTCCTTTTTCAGCATAGGCCTGAAAGCGCTCCAAATGCCCGCTTCCAGACACTATAAAAAGAGGGTTTCAAACCTACTCTATGAAAGGGAATGTTCAACTCTGAGAGCTGGATGCAAACATCACAAAGAAGTTTCTGAGAATGCTGCTGTCTACTTTTTATATATAATCCCGTTTCCAACGAAATCCTCAAATCTATCCAAATATCCACTTGCAGATTCCAAAAGAAGAGTGTCTCAAAACTGCTCTATCAATAGAAATGTTCAGCACAGTTAGTTGAGTAGATACAGCATAAACATGTTTCTGAGATTACTTCTATCTCGCATTCATGGGAAGATATTTCCTTTTTCCACATAGGCTACAAAGCCCTCCAAATGTCCACTTCCAGATACTACAAATAGAGTGCTGCACAACTGCTCTATGTGAGGGGAAGTTCAATTCTGTGACTTGAATGCAGACACCACAAAGAAGTTTCTGAGAATGCTGCTGTCTAATTTTTACATGTAAGCCCGTTTCCAACGAAATCCTCAAAGCTATCCAAATATCCGCATGCAGAATCTTCAAAAAGAGTGTTCCAGAAGTACTGCATGAAACGAAAGGTTCAAGTCCGTTTGTTGAGGACACACATCACAAATAAGTTTCTCAGAATGCTTCTGTCTTGTTTTCATTGGAAGATATTTCCTTTTTCACCATAGTTCAGAAAGCGCTCCAAATGTCCACTTCCAGATACTCCAAAAAGAGTGTTTCCAACCTGCTCTATGAATGGGAATGTTCCACTCTGTGACTTGAATGGAAATATGGCAAAGTATTTTCTGAGTATGCTGCTGTGTACGTTTTATATTGCATCCCGTTTCCAACGAAATCCTCAAAGCGATCCAAATATCCACTTGCAGATTCCAAAAAAAGAGTGTTTCAAACTGCTCTGTCAGTACAAAGGTTCAACACTGTTAGTTGATTAGATGCATCATAAACAAGTTCCTGAGATAGCTTCTATGTCGTTTTTATGGGAAGATATTTCCTTTTTCACCATAGGCCTGAAAGCGCTCCAAATGTCCACATCCAGATACTACAATAAGAGTGTTTCCAACCTGCTCTATGAAACGGAAGGTTCAACTTTGTGACTTGATTGCAAACATCACGAAGGTGTTTCTGAGAATGCTTCTGTCTAGATTTTCTTTGAAGACATTCCCGTTTCCAACGAAATCCTCACAGCTATCCAAATATCCTCTTGCAGATTCTACAAAAAGTGTGGTTCAAAACTGCTGTATCAAAAGAATGGATCAACACTGTTAGTTGAGTACCCACATCACAAACGTGATTCTCAGAATGCTTCTGTCTAGTTTCTGTAGGTAGATATTTCCTATTTTAAGCATAGGCCTGAAAGCGCTCCAAATGCCCGCTTCCAGACACTATAAAAAGAGGGTTTCAAACCTACTCTATGAAAGGGAATGTTCAACTCTGAGAGCTGGATGCAAACATCACAAAGAAGTTTCTGAGAATGCTGCTGTCTACTTTTTATATATAATCCCGTTTCCAACGAAATCCTCAAATCTATCCAAATATCCACTTGCAGATTCCAAAAGAAGAGTGTCTCAAAACTGCTCTATCAATAGAAATGTTCAGCACAGTTAGTTGAGTAGATACAGCATAAACATGTTTCTGAGATTACTTCTATCTCGCATTCATGGGAAGATATTTCCTTTTTCCAGATAGGCTACAAAGCCCTCCAAATGTCCACTTCCAGATACTACAAAAAGTGTGTTTCCAACCTGCTCTATGAAACGGAAGGTTCAACTCTGTGACTTGATTGCAAACATCACGAAGGTGTTTCTGAGAATGCTTCTGTCTAGATTTTCTTTGAAGACATTACCGTTTCCAACGAAATCCTCAAAGCTAGCCAAATATCCACCTGCAGATTCTACAAAAAGAGTGTTTCAAAAGTGCTCTGTCCAAACCAAGGTTCAATTCTGACAGTTGAGTGCACACATCACAAACGTGATTCTGCGAATGCTTCTGTCTAGTTTTTGTCGGAAGATATTTCCTTTTTCAGCATAGGCCCCAAGGAGCTCAAAATGTCCACTGCCAGATAGTACGAGAAGATTGTTTCAAACCTGCTCTGTGAAAGGGAATGTTCAACTCTGTGACTTGAATGTAAACATCCCTGAGATGTTTCTTAGAATGCTTCTGGCTAGATTTTATTTGAAGATATTCCCGTTTCCAACGAAATCCTCAAAGCTTTCCCAATATCCACTTCCAGATTCTATAAAAAGAATGTTTCAGAACAGTTCTGTCAAAAGAAAGGTTCAACTCTGTTAGTGGAGAACACACATCACAATCAAGGTTCTGAGAATGCTTCTGTCTAAATTTTCTATGAAGACATTCCCGTTTCCAACGAAATCCTCACAGCTATCCAAATATCCACTTGCAGATTCTACAAAAAGTGTGGTTCAAAACTGCTGTATCAAAAGAATGGATCAACACTGTTAGTTGAGTACCCACATCACAAACGTGATTCTCAGAATGCTTCTGTCTAGTTTCTATAGGTAGATATTTCCTTTTTCAGCATAGGCCTGAAAGCGCTCCAAATGCCCGCTTCCAGACACTATAAAAAGAGGGTTTCAAACCTACTCTATGAAAGGGAATGTTCAACTCTGAGAGCTGGATGCAAACATCACAAAGAAGTTTCTGAGAATGCTGCTGTCTACTTTTTATATATAATCCCGTTTCCAACGAAATCCTCAAATCTATCCAAATATCCACTTGCAGATTCCAAAAGAAGAGTGTCTCAAAACTGCTCTATCAATAGAAATGTTCAGCACAGTTAGTTGAGTAGATACAGCATAAACATGTTTCTGAGATTACTTCTATCTCGCATTCATGGGAAGATATTTCCTTTTTCCAGATAGGCTACAAAGCCCTCCAAATGTCCACTTCCAGATACTACAAATAGAGTGCTGCACAACTGCTCTATGTGAGGGGATGTTCAATTCTGTGACTTGAATGCAGACACCACAAAGAAGTTTCTGAGAATGCTGCTGTCTAATTTTTACATGTAAGCCCGTTTCCAACGAAATCCTCAAAGCTATCCAAATATCCGCATGCAGAATCTTCAAAAAGAGTGTTCCAGAAGTACTGCATGAAACGAAAGGTTCAAGTCCGTTTGTTGAGGACACACATCACAAATAAGTTTCTCAGAATGCTTCTGTCTTGTTTTCATTGGAAGATATTTCCTTTTTCACCATAGTTCAGAAAGCGCTCCAAATGTCCACTTCCAGATACTCCAAAAAGAGTGTTTCCAACCTGCTCTATGAATGGGAATGTTCCACTCTGTGACTTGAATGGAAATATGGCAAAGTATTTTCTGAGTATGCTGCTGTGTACGTTTTATATTGCATCCCGTTTCCAACGAAATCCTCAAAGTGATCCAAATATCCACTTGCAGATTCCAAAAAAAGAGTGTTTCAAACTGCTCTGTCAGTACAAAGGTTCAACACTGTTAGTTGATTAGATGCATCATAAACAAGTTCCTGAGATAGCTTCTATCTCGCATTCATGGGAAGATATTTCCTTTTTCCAGATAGGCTACAAAGCCCTCCAAATGTCCACTTCCAGATACTACAAAAAGAGTATTTCCAACCTGCTCTATGAAACGGAAGGTTCAACTCTGTGACTTGATTGCAAACATCACGAAGGTGTTTCTGAGAATGCTTCTGTCTAGATTTTCTTTGAAGACATTACCGTTTCCAACGAAATCCTCAAAGCTAGCCAAATATCCACCTGCAGATTCCACAAAAAGAGTGTTTCAAAAGTGCTCTGTCCAAACCAAGGTTCAATTCTGACAGTTGAGTGCACACATCACAAACGTGATTCTGCGAATGCTTCTGTCTAGTTTTTGTCGGAAGATATTTCCTTTTTCAGCATAGGCCCCAAGGAGCTCAAAATGTCCACTGCCAGATAGTACGAGAAGATTGTTTCAAACCTGCTCTGTGAAAGGGAATGTTCAACTCTGTGACTTGAATGTAAACATCCCTAAGATGTTTCTTAGAATGCTTCTGGCTAGATTTGATTTGAAGATATTCCCGTTTCCAACGAAATCCTCAAAGCTTTCCAAATATCCACTTCCAGATTCTATAAAAAGAATGTTTCAGAACAGTTCTGTCAAAAGAAAGGTTCAACTCTGTTAGTGGAGAACACACATCACAATCAAGGTTCTGAGAATGCTTCCGTCTAAATTTTCTATGAAGACATTCCCGTTTCCAACGAAATCCTCAAAGCTTTCCAAATATCCACTTCCAGATTCTACAAAAAGTGTGGTTCAAAACTGCTGTATCAAAAGAATGGATCAACACTGTTAGTTGAGTACCCACATCACAAACGTGATTCTCAGAATGCTTCTGTCTAGTTTCTATAGGTAGATATTTCCTTTTTCAGCATAGGCCTGAAAGCGCTCCAAATGCCCGCTTCCAGACACTATAAAAAGAGGGTTTCAAACCTACTCTATGAAAGGGAATGTTCAACTCTGAGAGCTGGATGCAAACATCACAAAGAAGTTTCTGAGAATGCTGCTGTCTACTTTTTATATATCATCCCGTTTCCAACGAAATCCTCAAATCTATCCAAATATCCACTTGCAGATTCCAAAGGAAGAGTGTCTCAAAACTGCTCTATCAATAGAAATGTTCAGCACAGTTAGTTGAGTAGATACAGCATAAACATGTTTCTGAGATTACTTCTATCTCGCATTCATGGGAAGATATTTCCTTTTTCCAGATAGGCTACAAAGCCCTCCAAATGTCCACTTCCAGATACTACAAATAGAGTGCTGCACAACTGCTCTATGTGAGGGGAAGTTCAATTCTGTGACTTGAATGCAGACACCACAAAGAAGTTTCTGAGAATGCTGCTGTCTAATTTTTACATGTAAGGCCGTTTCCAACGAAATCCTCAAAGCTATCCAAATATCCGCATGCAGAATCTTCAAAAAGAGTGTTCCAGAAGTACTGCATGAAACGAAAGGTTCAAGTCCGTTTGTTGAGGACACACATCACAAATAAGTTTCTCAGAATGCTTCTGTCTTGTTTTCATTGGAAGATATTTCCTTTTTCACCATAGTTCAGAAAGCGCTCCAAATGTCCACTTCCAGATACTCCAAAAAGAGTGTTTCCAACCTGCTCTATGAATGGGAATGTTCCACTCTGTGACTTGAATGGAAACATGGCAAAGTATTTTCTGAGTATGCTGCTGTGTACGTTTTATATTGCATCCCGTTTCCAACGAAATCCTCAAAGTGATCCAAATATCCACTTGCAGATTCCAAAAAAAGAGTGTTTCAAACTGCTCTGTCAGTACAAAGGTTCAACACTGTTAGTTGATTAGATGCATCATAAACAAGTTCCTGAGATAGCTTCTATGTCGTTTTTATGGGAAGATATTTCCTTTTTCACCATAGGCCTGAAAGCGCTCCAAATGTCCACTTCCAGATACTACAATAAGAGTGTTTCCAACCTGCTCTATGAAACGGAAGGTTCAACTCTGTGACTTGATTGCAAACATCACGAAGGTGTTTCTGAGAATGCTTCTGTCTAGATTTTCTTTGAAGACATTCCCGTTTCCAACGAAATCCTCACAGCTATCCAAATATCCTCTTGCAGATTCTACAAAAAGTGTGGTTCAAAACTGCTGTATCAAAAGAATGGATCAACACTGTTAGTTGAGTACCCACATCACAAACGTGATTCTCGGAATGCTTCTGTCTAGTTTCTATAGGTAGATGTCTCCTTTTTCAGCATAGGCCTGAAAGCGCTCCAAATGCCCGCTTCCAGACACTATAAAAAGAGGGTTTCAAACCTACTCTATGAAAGGGAATGTTCAACTCTGAGAGCTGGATGCAAACATCACAAAGAAGTTTCTGAGAATGCTGCTGTCTACTTTTTATATATAATCCCGTTTCCAACGAAATCCTCAAATCTATCCAAATATCCACTTGCAGATTCCAAAAGAAGAGTGTCTCAAAACTGCTCTATCAATAGAAATGTTCAGCACAGTTAGTTGAGTAGATACAGCATAAACATGTTTCTGAGATTACTTCTATCTCGCATTCATGGGAAGATATTTCCTGTTTCCAGATAGGCTACAAAGCCCTCCAAATGTCCACTTCGAGATACTACAAATAGAGTGCTGCACAACTGCTCTATGTGAGGGGATGTTCAATTCTGTGACTTGAATGCAGACACCACAAAGAAGTTTCTGAGAATGCTGCTGTATAATTTTTATATGTAAGCCCGTTTCCAACGAAATCCTCAAAGCTATCCAAATATCCGCATGCAGAATCTTCAAAAAGAGTGTTCCAGAAGTACTGCATGAAACGAAAGGTTCGAGTCCGTTAGTTGAGGACACGCATCACAAATAAGTTTCTCAGAATGCTTCTGTCTTGTTTTCATTGGAAGATATTTCCTTTTTCACCATAGTTCAGAAAGCGCTCCAAATGTCCACTTCCAGATACTCCAAAAAGAGTGTTTCAAACCTGCTCTATGAATGGGAATGTTCCACTCTGTGACTTGAATGGAAATATGGCAAAGTATTTTCTGAGTATGCTGCTGTGTACGTTTTATATTGCATCCCGTTTCCAACGAAATCCTCAAAGCGATCCAAATATCCACTTGCAGATTCCAAAAAAAGAGTGTTTCAAACTGCTCTGTCAGTACAAAGGTTCAACACTGTTAGTTGATTAGATGCATCATAAACAAGTTCCTGAGATAGCTTCTATGTCGTTTTTATGGGAAGATATTTCCTTTTTCACCATAGGCCTGAAAGCGCTCCAAATGTCCACTTCCAGATACTACAATAAGAGTGTTTCCAACCTGCTCTATGAAACGGAAGGTTCAACTCTGTGACTTGATTGCAAACATCACGAAGGTGTTTCTGAGAATGCTTCTGTCTAGATTTTCTTTGAAGACATTCCCGTTTCCAACGAAATCCTCACAGCTATCCAAATATCCACTTGCAGATTCTACAAAAAGTGTGGTTCAAAACTGCTGTATCAAAAGAATGGATCAACACTGTTAGTTGAGTACCCACATCACAAACGTGATTCTCAGAATGCTTCTGTCTAGTTTCTGTAGGTAGATATTTCCTATTTTCAGCATAGGCCTGAAAGCGCTCCAAATGCCCGCTTCCAGACACTATAAAAAGAGGGTTTCAAACCTACTCTATGAAAGGGAATGTTCAACTCTGAGAGCTGGATGCAAACATCACAAAGAAGTTTCTGAGAATGCTGCTGTCTACTTTTGATATATAATCCCGTTTCCAACGAAATCCTCAAATCTATCCAAATATCCACTTGCAGATTCCAAAAGAAGAGTGTCTCAAAACTGCTCTATCAATAGAAATGTTCAGCACAGTTAGTTGAGTAGATACAGCATAAACATGTTTCTGAGATTACTTCTATCTCGCATTCATGGGAAGATATTTCCTTTTTCCAGATAGGCTACAAAGCCCTCCAAATGTCCACTTCCAGATACTACAAATAGAGTGCTGCACAACTGCTCTATGTGAGGGGAAGTTCAATTCTGTGACTTGAATGCAGACACCACAAAGAAGTTTCTGAGAATGCTGCTGTCTAATTTTTACATGTAAGCCCGTTTCCAACGAAATCCTCAAAGCTATCCAAATATCCGCATGCAGAATCTTCAAAAAGAGTGTTCCAGAAGTACTGCATGAAACGAAAGGTTCAAGTCCGTTTGTTGAGGACACACATCACAAATAAGTTTCTCAGAATGCTTCTGTCTTGTTTTCATTGGAAGATATTTCCTTTTTCACCATAGTTCAGAAAGCGCTCCAAATGTCCACTTCCAGATACTCCAAAAAGAGTGTTTCCAACCTGCTCTATGAATGGGAATGTTCCACTCTGTGACTTGAATGGAAATATGGCAAAGTATTTTCTGAGTATGCTGCTGTGTACGTTTTATATTGCATCCCGTTTCCAACGAAATCCTCAAAGCGATCCAAATATCCACTTGCAGATTCCAAAAAAAGAGTGTTTCAAACTGCTCTGTCAGTACAAAGGTTCAACACTGTTAGTTGATTAGATGCATCATAAACAAGTTCCTGAGATAGCTTCTATGTCGTTTTTATGGGAAGATATTTCCTTTTTCACCATAGGCCTGAAAGCGCTCCAAATGTCCACTTCCAGATACTACAAAAAGAGTGTTTCCAACCTGCTCTATGAAACGGAAGGTTCAACTACTGTGACTTGATTGCAAACATCATGAAGGTGTTTCTGAGAATGTTTTCTGTCTAGATTTTCTTTGAAGACATTACCGTTTCCAACGAAATCCTCAAAGCTAGCCAAATATCCACCTGCAGATTCTACAAAAAGAGTGTTTCAAAAGTGCTCTGTCCAAACCAAGGTTCAATTCTGACAGTTGAGTGCACACATCACAAACGTGATTCTGCGAATGCTTCTGTCTAGTTTTTGTCGGAAGATATTTCCTTTTTCAGCATAGGCCCCAAGGAGCTCAAAATGTCCACTGCCAGATAGTACGAGAAGATTGTTTCAAACCTGCTCTGTGAAAGGGAATGTTCAACTCTGTGACTTGAATGTAAACATCCCTAAGATGTTTCTTAGAATGCTTCTGGCTAGATTTGATTTGAAGATATTCCCGTTTCCAACGAAATCCTCAAAGCTTTCCAAATATCCACTTCCAGATTCTATAACAAGAATGTTTCAGAACAGTTCTGTCAAAAGAAAGGTTCAACTCTGTTAGTGGAGAACACACATCACAATCAAGGTTCTGAGAATGCTTCTGTCTAAATTTTCTATGAAGACATTCCCGTTTCCAACGAAATCCTCACAGCTATCCAAATATCCACTTGCAGATTCTACAAAAAGTGTGGTTCAAAACTGCTGTATCAAAAGAATGGATCAACACTGTTAGTTGAGTACCCACATCACAAACGTGATTCTCAGAATGCTTCTGTCTAGTTTCTATAGGTAGATATTTCCTTTTTCAGCATAGGCCCGAAAGCGCTCCAAATGCCCGCTTCCAGACACTATAAAAAGAGGGTTTCAAACCTACTCTATGAAAGGGAATGTTCAACTCTGAGAGCTGGATGCAAACATCACAAAGAAGTTTCTGAGAATGCTGCTGTCTACTTTTGATATATAATCCCGTTTCCAACGAAATCCTCAAATCTATCCAAATATCCACTTGCAGATTCCAAAAGAAGAGTGTCTCAAAACTGCTCTATCAATAGAAATGTTCAGCACAGTTAGTTGAGTAGATACAGCATAAACATGTTTCTGAGATTACTTCTATCTCGCATTCATGGGAAGATATTTCCTTTTTCCAGATAGGCTACAAAGCCCTCCAAATGTCCACTTCCAGATACTACAAAAAGAGTGTTTCCAACCTGCTCTATGAAACGGAAGGTTCAACTCTGTGACTTGATTGCAAACATCACGAAGGTGTTTCTGAGAATGCTTCTGTCTAGATTTTCTTTGAAGACATTACCATTTCCAACGAAATCCTCAAAGCTAGCCAAATATCCTCTTGCAGATTCTACAAAAAGTGTGGTTCAAAACTGCTGTATCAAAAGAATGGATCAACACTGTTAGTTGAGTACCCACATCACAAACGTGATTCTCAGAATGCTTCTGTCTAGTTTCTGTAGGTAGATATTTCCTATTTTAAGCATAGGCCTGAAAGCGCTCCAAATGCCCGCTTCCAGACACTATAAAAAGAGGGTTTCAAACCTACTCTATGAAAGGGAATGTTCAACTCTGAGAGCTGGATGCAAACATCACAAAGAAGTTTCTGAGAATGCTGCTGTCTACTTTTTATATATAATCCCGTTTCCAACGAAATCCTCAAATCTATCCAAATATCCACTTGCAGATTCCAAAAGAAGAGTGTCTCAAAACTGCTCTATCAATAGAAATGTTCAGCACAGTTAGTTGAGTAGATACAGCATAAACATGTTTCTGAGATTACTTCTATCTCGCATTCATGGGAAGATATTTCCTTTTTCCAGATAGGCTACAAAGCCCTCCAAATGTCCACTTCCAGATACTACAAATAGAGTGCTGCACAACTGCTCTATGTGAGGGGAAGTTCAATTCTGTGACTTGAATGCAGACACCACAAAGAAGTTTCTGAGAATGCTGCTGTCTAATTTTTACATGTAAGCCCGTTTCCAACGAAATCCTCAAAGCTATCCAAATATCCGCATGCAGAATCTTCAAAAAGAGTGTTCCAGAAGTACTGCATGAAACGAAAGGTTCAAGTCCGTTTGTTGAGGACACACATCACAAATAAGTTTCTCAGAATGCTTCTGTCTTGTTTTCATTGGAAGATATTTCCTTTTTCACCATAGTTCAGAAAGCGCTCCAAATGTCCACTTCCAGATACTCCAAAAAGAGTGTTTCCAACCTGCTCTATGAATGGGAATGTTCCACTCTGTGACTTGAATGGAAACATGGCAAAGTATTTTCTGAGTATGCTGCTGTGTACGTTTTATATTGCATCCCGTTTCCAACGAAATCCTCAAAGCGATCCAAATATCCACTTGCAGATTCCAAAAAAAGAGTGTTTCAAACTGCTCTGTCAGTACAAAGGTTCAACACTGTTAGTTGATTAGATGCATCATAAACAAGTTCCTGAGATAGCTTCTATGTCGTTTTTATGGGAAGATATTTCCTTTTTCACCATAGGCCTGAAAGCGCTCCAAATGTCCACTTCCAGATACTACAATAAGAGTGTTTCCAACCTGCTCTATGAAACGGAAGGTTCAACTCTGTGACTTGATTGCAAACATCACGAAGGTGTTTCTGAGAATGCTTCTGTCTAAATTTTCTATGAAGACATTCCCGTTTCCAACGAAATCCTCACAGCTATCCAAATATCCACTTGCAGATTCTACAAAAAGTGTGGTTCAAAACTGCTGTATCAAAAGAATGGATCAACACTGTTAGTTGAGTACCCACATCACAAACGTGATTCTCAGAATGCTTCTGTCTAGTTTCTGTAGGTAGATATTTCCTATTTTAAGCATAGGCCTGAAAGCGCTCCAAATGCCCGCTTCCAGACACTATAAAAAGAGGGTTTCAAACCTACTCTATGAAAGGGAATGTTCAACTCTGAGAGCTGGATGCAAACATCACAAAGAAGTTTCTGAGAATGCTGCTGTCTACTTTTTATATATAATCCCGTTTCCAACGAAATCCTCAAATCTATCCAAATATCCACTTGCAGATTCCAAAAGAAGAGTGTCTCAAAACTGCTCTATCAATAGAAATGTTCAGCACAGTTAGTTGAGTAGATACAGCATAAACATGTTTCTGAGATTACTTCTATCTCGCATTCATGGGAAGATATTTCCTTTTTCCAGATAGGCTACAAAGCCCTCCAAATGTCCACTTCGAGATACTACAAATAGAGTGCTGCACAACTGCTCTATGTGAGGGGAAGTTCAATTCTGTGACTTGAATGCAGACACCACAAAGAAGTTTCTGAGAATGCTGCTGTCTAATTTTTACATGTAAGCCCGTTTCCAACGAAATCCTCAAAGCTATCCAAATATCCGAATGCAGAATCTTCAAAAAGAGTGTTCCAGAAGTACTGCATGAAACGAAAGGTTCAAGTCCGTTTGTTGAGGACACACATCACAAATAAGTTTCTCAGAATGCTTCTGTCTTGTTTTCATTGGAAGATATTTCCTTTTTCACCATAGTTCTGAAAGCGTTCCAAATGTCCACTTCCAGACACTCCAAAAAAAGTGTTTCAAACCTGCTCTATGAATGGGAATGTTCCACTCTGTGACTTGAATGGAAATATGGCAAAGTATTTTACTGAGTATGCTGCTGTGTACGTTTTATATTGCATCCCGTTTCCAACGAAATCCTCAAAGCGATCAAAATATCCACTTGCAGATTCCAAAAAAAGAGTGTTTCAAACTGCTCTGTCAGTACAAAGGTTCAACACTGTTAGTTGATTAGATGCATCATAAACAAGTTCCTGAGATAGCTTCTATGTCGTTTTTATGGGAAGATATTTCCTTTTTCACCATAGGCCTGAAAGCACTCCAAATGTCCACTTCCAGATACTACAAAAAGAGTGTTTCCAACCTGCTCTATGAAACGGAAGGTTCAACTCTGTGACTTGATTGCAAACATCACGAAGGTGTTTCTGAGAATGCTTCTGTCTAGATTTTCTTTGAAGACATTACCGTTTCCAACGAAATCCTCAAAGCTAGCCAAATATCCACCTGCAGATTCTACAAAAAGAGTGTTTCAAAAGTGCTCTCTCCAAACCAAGGTTCAATTCTGACAGTTGAGTGCACACATCACAAACGTGATTCTGCGAATGCTTCTGTCTAGTTTTTGTCGGAAGATATTTCCTTTTTCAGCATAGGCCCCAAGGAGCTCAAAATGTCCACTGCCAGATAGTACGAGAAGATTGTTTCAAACCTGCTCTGTGAAAGGGAATGTTCAACTCTGTGACTTGAATGTAAACATCCCTAAGCTGTTTCTTAGAATGCTTCTGGCTAGATTTGATTTGAAGATATTCCCGTTTCCAACGAAATCCTCAAAGCTTTCCAAATATCCACTTCCAGATTCTATAAAAAGAATGTTTCAGAACAGTTCTGTCAAAAGAAAGGTTCAACTCTGTTAGTGGAGAACACACATCACAATCAAGGTTCTGAGAATGCTTCTGTCTAAATTTTCTATGAAGACATTCCCGTTTCCAACGAAATCCTCACAGCTATCCAAATATCCACTTGCAGATTCTACAAAAAGTGTGGTTCAAAACTGCTGTATCAAAAGAATGGATCAACACTGTTAGTTGAGTACCCACATCACAAACGTGATTCTCAGAATGCTTCTGTCTAGTTTCTATAGGTAGATATTTCCTTTTTCAGCATAGGCCTGAAAGCGCTCCAAATGCCCGCTTCCAGACACTATAAAAAGAGGGTTTCAAACCTACTCTATGAAAGGGAATGTTCAACTCTGAGAGCTGGATGCAAACATCACAAAGAAGTTTCTGAGAATGCTGCTGTCTACTTTTTATATATAATCCCGTTTCCAACGAAATCCTCAAATCTATCCAAATATCCACTTGCAGATTCCAAAAGAAGAGTGTCTCAAAACTGCTCTATCAATAGAAATGTTCAGCACAGTTAGTTGAGTAGATACAGCATAAACATGTTTCTGAGATTACTTCTATCTCGCATTCATGGGAAGATATTTCCTTTTTCCAGATAGGCTACAAAGCCCTCCAAATGTCCACTTCCAGATACTACAAAAAGAGTGTTTCCAACCTGCTCTATGAAACGGAAGGTTCAACTCTGTGACTTGATTGCAAACATCACGAAGGTGTTTCTGAGAATGCTTCTGTCTAGATTTTCTTTGAAGACATTACCGTTTCCAACGAAATCCTCAAAGCTAGCCAAATATCCACCTGCAGATTCTACAAAAAGAGTGTTTCAAAAGTGCTCTGTCCAAACCAAGGTTCAATTCTGACAGTTGAGTGCACACATCACAAACGTGATTCTGCGAATGCTTCTGTCTAGTTTTTGTCGGAAGATATTTCCTTTTTCAGCATAGGCCCCAAGGAGCTCAAAATGTCCACTGCCAGATAGTACGAGAAGATTGTTTCAAACCTGCTCTGTGAAAGGGAATGTTCAACTCTGTGACTTGAATGTAAACATCCCTAAGATGTTTCTTAGAATGCTTCTGGCTAGATTTTATTTGAAGATATTCCCGTTTCCAATGAAATCCTCAAAGCTTTCCAAATATCCACTTCCAGATTCTATAAAAAGAATGTTTCAGAACAGTTCTGTCAAAAGAAAGGTTCAACTCTGTTAGTGGAGAACACACATCACAATCAAGGTTCTGAGAATGCTTCTGTCTAAATTTTCTATGAAGACATTCCCGTTTCCAACGAAATCCTCACAGCTATCCAAATATCCACTTGCAGATTCTACAAAAAGTGTGGTTCAAAACTGCTGTATCAAAAGAATGGATCAACACTGTTAGTTGAGTACCCACATCACAAACGTGATTCTCAGAATGCTTCTGTCTAGTTTCTATAGGTAGATATTTCCTTTTTCAGCATAGGCCTGAAAGCGCTCCAAATGCCCGCTTCCAGACACTATAAAAAGAGGGTTTCAAACCTACTCTATGAAAGGGAATGTTCAACTCTGAGAGCTGGATGCAAACATCACAAAGAAGTTTCTGAGAATGCTGCTGTCTACTTTTTATATATAATCCCGTTTCCAACGAAATCCTCAAATCTATCCAAATATCCACTTGCAGATTCCAAAAGAAGAGTGTCTCAAAACTGCTCTATCAATAGAAATGTTCAGCACAGTTAGTTGAGTAGATACAGCATAAACATGTTTCTGAGATTACTTCTATCTCGCATTCATGGGAAGATATTTCCTTTTTCCAGATAGGCTACAAAGCCCTCCAAATGTCCACTTCCAGATACTACAAAAAGTGTGTTTCCAACCTGCTCTATGAAACGGAAGGTTCAACTCTGTGACTTGATTGCAAACATCACGAAGGTGTTTCTGAGAATGCTTCTGTCTAGATTTTCTTTGAAGACATTACCGTTTCCAACGAAATCCTCAAAGCTAGCCAAATATCCACCTGCAGATTCTACAAAAAGAGTGTTTCAAAAGTGCTCTCTCCAAACCAAGGTTCAATTCTGACAGTTGAGTGCACACATCACAAACGTGATTCTGCGAATGCTTCTGTCTAGTTTTTGTCGGAAGATATTTCCTTTTTCAGCATAGGCCCCAAAGAGCTCAAAATGTCCACTGCCAGATAGTACGAGAAGATTGTTTCAAACCTGCTCTGTGAAAGGGAATGTTCAACTCTGTGACTTGAATGTAAACATCCCTAAGATGTTTCTTAGAATGCTTCTGGCTAGATTTTATTTGAAGATATTCCCGTTTCCAACGAAATCCTCAAAGCTTTCCAAATATCCACTTCCAGATTCTATAAAAAGAATGTTTCAGAACAGTTCTGTCAAAAGAAAGGTTCAACTCTGTTAGTGGAGAACACACATCACAATCAAGGTTCTGAGAATGCTTCTGTCTAAATTTTCTATGAAGACATTCCCGTTTCCAACGAAATCCTCACAGCTATCCAAATATCCACTTGCAGATTCTACAAAAAGTGTGGTTCAAAACTGCTGTATCAAAAGAATGGATCAACACTGTTAGTTGAGTACCCACATCACAAACGTGATTCTCAGAATGCTTCTGTCTAGTTTCTATAGGTAGATATTTCCTTTTTCAGCATAGGCCTGAAAGCGCTCCAAATGCCCGCTTCCAGACACTATAAAAAGAGGGTTTCAAACCTACTCTATGAAAGGGAATGTTCAACTCTGAGAGCTGGATGCAAACATCACAAAGAAGTTTCTGAGAATGCTGCTGTCTACTTTTTATATATAATCCCGTTTCCAACGAAATCCTCAAATCTATCCAAATATCCACTTGCAGATTCCAAAAGAAGAGTGTCTCAAAACTGCTCTATCAATAGAAATGTTCAGCACATTTAGTTGAGTAGATACAGCATAAACATGTTTCTGAGATTACTTCTATCTCGCATTCATGGGAAGATATTTCCTTTTTCCACATAGGCTACAAAGCCCTCCAAATGTCCACTTCGAGATACTACAAATAGAGTGCTGCACAACTGCTCTATGTGAGGGGATGTTCAATTCTGTGACTTGAATGCAGACACCACAAAGAAGTTTCTGAGAATGCTGCTGTCTAATTTTTACATGTAAGCCCGTTTCCAACGAAATCCTCAAAGCTATCCAAATATCCACATGCAGAATCTTCAAAAAGAGTGTTCCAGAAGTACTGCATGAAACGAAAGGTTCAAGTCCGTTTGTTGAGGACACACATCACAAATAAGTTTCTCAGAATGCTTCTGTCTTGTTTTCATTGGAAGATATTTCCTTTTTCACCATAGTTCAGAAAGCGCTCCAAATGTCCACTTCCAGATACTCCAAAAAGAGTGTTTCCAACCTGCTCTATGAATGGGAATGTTCCACTCTGTGACTTGAATGGAAATATGGCAAAGTATTTTCTGAGTATGCTGCTGTGTACGTTTTATATTGCATCCCGTTTCCAACGAAATCCTCAAAGCGATCCAAATATCCACTTGCAGATTCCAAAAAAAGAGTGTTTCAAACTGCTCTGTCAGTACAAAGGTTCAACACTGTTAGTTGATTAGATGCATCATAAACAAGTTCCTGAGATAGCTTCTATGTCGTTTTTATGGGAAGATATTTCCTTTTTCACCATAGGCCTGAAAGCGCTCCAAATGTCCACTTCCAGATACTACAATAAGAGTGTTTCCAACCTGCTCTATGAAACGGAAGGTTCAACTCTGTGACTTGATTGCAAACATCACGAAGGTGTTTCTGAGAATGCTTCTGTCTAGATTTTCTTTGAAGACATTCCCGTTTCCAACGAAATCCTCACAGCTATCCAAATATCCTCTTGCAGATTCTACAAAAAGTGTGGTTCAAAACTGCTGTATCAAAAGAATGGATCAACACTGTTAGTTGAGTACCCACATCACAAACGTGATTCTCAGAATGCTTCTGTCTAGTTTCTGTAGGTAGATATTTCCTATTTTAAGCATAGGCCTGAAAGCGCTCCAAATGCCCGCTTCCAGACACTATAAAAAGAGGGTTTCAAACCTACTCTATGAAAGGGAATGTTCAACTCTGAGAGCTGGATGCAAACATCACAAAGAAGTTTCTGAGAATGCTGCTGTCTACTTTTGATATATAATCCCGTTTCCAACGAAAATCCTCAAATCTATCCAAATATCCACTTGCAGATTCCAAAAGAAGAGTGTCTCAAAACTGCTCTATCAATAGAAATGTTCAGCACAGTTAGTTGAGTAGATACAGCATAAACATGTTTCTGAGATTACTTCTATCTCGCATTCATGGGAAGATATTTCCTTTTTCCAGATAGGCTACAAAGCCCTCCAAATGTCCACTTCCAGATACTACAAATAGAGTGCTGCACAACTGCTCTATGTGAGGGGAAGTTCAATTCTGTGACTTGAATGCAGACACCACAAAGAAGTTTCTGAGAATGCTGCTGTCTAATTTTTACATGTAAGCCCGTTTCCAACGAAATCCTCAAAGCTATCCAAATATCCGCATGCAGAATCTTCAAAAAGAGTGTTCCAGAAGTACTGCATGAAACGAAAGGTTCAAGTCCGTTTGTTGAGGACACACATCACAAATAAGTTTCTCAGAATGCTTCTGTCTTGTTTTCATTGGAAGATATTTCCTTTTTCACCATAGTTCAGAAAGCGCTCCAAATGTCCACTTCCAGATACTCCAAAAAGAGTGTTTCCAACCTGCTCTATGAATGGGAATGTTCCACTCTGTGACTTGAATGGAAATATGGCAAAGTATTTTCTGAGTATGCTGCTGTGTACGTTTTATATTGCATCCCGTTTCCAACGAAATCCTCAAAGCGATCCAAATATCCACTTGCAGATTCCAAAAAAAGAGTGTTTCAAACTGCTCTGTCAGTACAAAGGTTCAACACTGTTAGTTGATTAGATGCATCATAAACAAGTTCCTGATATAGATTCTATGTCGTTTTTATGGGAAGATATTTCCTTTTTCACCATAGGCCTGAAAGCGCTCCAAATGTCCACTTCCAGATACTACAATAAGAGTGTTTCCAACCTGCTCTATGAAACGGAAGGTTCAACTCTGTGACTTGATTGCAAACATCACGAAGGTGTTTCTGAGAATGCTTCTGTCTAGATTTTCTTTGAAGACATTCCCGTTTCCAACGAAATCCTCACAGCTATCCAAATATCCTCTTGCAGATTCTACAAAAAGTGTGGTTCAAAACTGCTGTATCAAAAGAATGGATCAACACTGTTAGTTGAGGTACCCACATCACAAACGTGATTCTCAGAATGCTTCTGTCTAGTTTCTGTAGGTAGATATTTCCTATTTTAAGCATAGGCCTGAAAGCGCTCCAAATGCCCGCTTCCAGACACTATAAAAAGAGGGTTTCAAACCTACTCTATGAAAGGGAATGTTCAACTCTGAGAGCTGGATGCAAACATCACAAAGAAGTTTCTGAGAATGCTGCTGTCTACTTTTTATATATAATCCCGTTTCCAACGAAATCCTCAAATCTATCCAAATATCCACTTGCAGATTCCAAAAGAAGAGTGTCTCAAAACTGCTCTATCAATAGAAATGTTCAGCACAGTTAGTTGAGTAGATACAGCATAAACATGTTTCTGAGATTACTTCTATCTCGCATTCATGGGAAGATATTTCCTTTTTCCAGATAGGCTACAAAGCCCTCCAAATGTCCACTTCCAGATACTACAAAAAGAGTGTTTCCAACCTGCTCTATGAAACGGAAGGTTCAACTCTGTGACTTGATTGCAAACATCACGAAGGTGTTTCTGAGAATGCTTCTGTCTAGATTTTCTTTGAAGACATTACCGTTTCCAACGAAATCCTCAAAGCTAGCCAAATATCCACCTGCAGATTCTACAAAAAGAGTGTTTCAAAAGTGCTCTGTCCAAACCAAGGTTCAATTCTGACAGTTGAGTGCACACATCACAAACGTGATTCTGCGAATGCTTCTGTCTAGTTTTTGTCGGAAGATATTTCCTTTTTCAGCATAGGCCCCAAGGAGCTCAAAATGTCCACTGCCAGATAGTACGAGAAGATTGTTTCAAACCTGCTCTGTGAAAGGGAATGTTCAACTCTGTGACTTGAATGTAAACATCCCTAAGATGTTTCTTAGAATGCTTCTGGCTAGATTTGATTTGAAGATATTCCCGTTTCCAACGAAATCCTCAAAGCTTTCCAAATATCCACTTCCAGATTCTATAAAAAGAATGTTTCAGAACAGTTCTGTCAAAAGAAAGGTTCAACTCTGTTAGTGGAGAACACACATCACAATCAAGGTTCTGAGAATGCTTCTGTCTAAATTTTCTATGAAGACATTCCCGTTTCCAACGAAATCCTCACAGCTATCCAAATATCCACTTGCAGATTCTACAAAAAGTGTGGTTCAAAACTGCTGTATCAAAAGAATGGATCAACACTGTTAGTTGAGTACCCACATCACAAACGTGATTCTCAGAATGCTTCTGTCTAGTTTCTATAGGTAGATATTTCCTTTTTCAGCATAGGCCTGAAAGCGCTCCAAATGCCCGCTTCCAGACACTATAAAAAGAGGGTTTCAAACCTACTCTATGAAAGGGAATGTTCAACTCTGAGAGCTGGATGCAAACATCACAAAGAAGTTTCTGAGAATGCTGCTGTCTACTTTTTATATATAATCCCGTTTCCAACGAAATCCTCAAATCTATCCAAATATCCACTTGCAGATTCCAAAAGAAGAGTGTCTGAAAACTGCTCTATCAATAGAAATGTTCAGCACAGTTAGTTGAGTAGATACAGCATAAACATGTTTCTGAGATTACTTCTATCTCGCATTCATGGGAAGATATTTCCTTTTTCCAGATAGGCTACAAAGCCCTCCAAATGTCCACTTCGAGATACTACAAATAGAGTGCTGCACAGCTGCTCTATGTGAGGGGATGTTCAATTCTGTGACTTGAATGCAGACACCACAAAGAAGTTTCTGAGAATGCTGCTGTCTAATTTTTACATGTAAGCCCGTTTCCAACGAAATCCTCAAAGCTATCCAAATATCCGCATGCAGAATCTTCAAAAAGAGTGTTCCAGAAGTACTGCATGAAACGAAAGGTTCAAGTCCGTTTGTTGAGGACACACATCACAAATAAGTTTCTCAGAATGCTTCTGTCTTGTTTTCATTGGAAGATATTTCCTTTTTCACCATAGTTCAGAAAGCGCTCCAAATGTCCACTTCCAGATACTCCAAAAAGAGTGTTTCCAACCTGCTCTATGAATGGGAATGTTCCACTCTGTGACTTGAATGGAAATATGGCAAAGTATTTTCTGAGTATGCTGCTGTGTACGTTTTATATTGCATCCCGTTTCCAACGAAATCCTCAAAGCGATCCAAATATCCACTTGCAGATTCCAAAAAAAGAGTGTTTCAAACTGCTCTGTCAGTACAAAGGTTCAACACTGTTAGTTGATTAGATGCATCATAAACAAGTTCCTGATATAGATTCTATCTCGCATTCATGGGAAGATATTTCCTTTTTCCAGATAGGCTACAAAGCCCTCCAAATGTCCACTTCCAGATACTACAAAAAGAGTGTTTCCAACCTGCTCTATGAAACGGAAGGTTCAACTCTGTGACTTGATTGCAAACATCATGAAGGTGTTTCTGAGAATGCTTCTGTCTAGATTTTCTTTGAAGACATTACCGTTTCCAACGAAATCCTCAAAGCTAGCCAAATATCCACCTGCAGATTCTACAAAAAGAGTGTTTCAAAAGTGCTCTGTCCAAACCAAGGTTCAATTCTGACAGTTGAGTGCACACATCACAAACGTGATTCTGCGAATGCTTCTGTCTAGTTTTTGTCGGAAGATATTTCCTTTTTCAGCATAGGCCCCAAGGAGCTCAAAATGTCCACTGCCAGATAGTACGAGAAGATTGTTTCAAACCTGCTCTGTGAAAGGGAATGTTCAACTCTGTGACTTGAATGTAAACATCCCTAAGATGTTTCTTAGAATGCTTCTGGCTAGATTTGATTTGAAGATATTCCCGTTTCCAACGAAATCCTCAAAGCTTTCCAAATATCCACTTCCAGATTCTATAAAAAGAATGTTTCAGAACAGTTCTGTCAAAAGAAAGGTTCAACTCTGTTAGTGGAGAACACACATCACAATCAAGGTTCTGAGAATGCTTCTGTCTAAATTTTCTATGAAGACATTCCCGTTTCCAACGAAATCCTCACAGCTATCCAAATATCCACTTGCAGATTCTACAAAAAGTGTGGTTCAAAACTGCTGTATCAAAAGAATGGATCAACACTGTTAGTTGAGTACCCACATCACAAACGTGATTCTCAGAATGCTTCTGTCTAGTTTCTATAGGTAGATATTTCCTTTTTCAGCATAGGCCTGAAAGCGCTCCAAATGCCCGCTTCCAGACACTATAAAAAGAGGGTTTCAAACCTACTCTATGAAAGGGAATGTTCAACTCTGAGAGCTGGATGCAAACATCACAAAGAAGTTTCTGAGAATGCTGCTGTCTACTTTTTATATATAATCCCGTTTCCAACGAAATCCTCAAATCTATCCAAATATCCACTTGCAGATTCCAAAAGAAGAGTGTCTCAAAACTGCTCTATCAATAGAAATGTTCAGCACAGTTAGTTGAGTAGATACAGCATAAACATGTTTCTGAGATTACTTCTATCTCGCATTCATGGGAAGATATTTCCTTTTTCCAGATAGGCTACAAAGCCCTCCAAATGTCCACTTCCAGATACTACAAATAGAGTGCTGCACAACTGCTCTATGTGAGGGGAAGTTCAATTCTGTGACTTGAATGCAGACACCACAAAGAAGTTTCTGAGAATGCTGCTGTCTAATTTTTACATGTAAGCCCGTTTCCAACGAAATCCTCAAAGCTATCCAAATATCCGCATGCAATATCTTCAAAAAGAGTGTTCCAGAAGTACTGCATGAAACGAAAGGTTCAAGTCCGTTTGTTGAGGACACACATCACAAATAAGTTTCTCAGAATGCTTCTGTCTTGTTTTCATTGGAAGATATTTCCTTTTTCACCATAGTTCAGAAAGCGCTCCAAATGTCCACTTCCAGATACTCCAAAAAGAGTGTTTCAAACCTGCTCTATGAATGGGAATGTTCCACTCTGTGACTTGAATGGAAATATGGCAAAGTATTTTCTGAGTATGCTGCTGTGTACGTTTTATATTGCATCCCGTTTCCAACGAAATCCTCAAAGCGATCCAAATATCCACTTGCAGATTCCAAAAAAAGAGTGTTTCAAACTGCTCTGTCAGTACAAAGGTTCAACACTGTTAGTTGATTAGATGCATCATAAACAAGTTCCTGAGATAGCTTCTATGTCGCTTTTATGGGAAGATATTTCCTTTTACACCATAGGCCTGAAAGCGCTCCAAATGTCCACTTCCAGATACTACAAAATGAGTGTTTCCAACCTGCACTATGAATCGGAAGGTTCAACTCTGTGACTTGATTGCAAACATCACGAAGGTGTTTCTGAGGATGTTTCTGTCTAGATTTTCTTTGAAGACATTACCGTTTCCAACGAAATCCTCAAAGCTAGCCAAATATCCACCTGCAGATTCTACAAAAAGAGTGTTTCAAAAGTGCTCTGTCCAAACCAAGGTTCAATTCTGACAGTTGAGTGCACACATCACAAACGTGATTCTGCGAATGCTTCTGTCTAGTTTTTGTCGGAAGATATTTCCTTTTTCAGCATAGGCCCCAAGGAGCTCAAAATGTCCACTGCCAGATAGTACGAGAAGATTGTTTCAAACCTGCTCTGAGAAAGGGGAATGTTCAACTCTGTGACTTGAATGTAAACATCCCTAAGATGTTTCTTAGAATGCTTCTGGCTAGATTTTATTTGAAGATATTCCCGTTTCCAACGAAATCCTCAAAGCTTTCCAAATATCCACTTCCAGATTCTATAAAAAGAATGTTTCAAAACAGTTCTGTCCAAAGAAAGGTTCAACTCTGTTAGTGGAGAACACACATCACAATCCAGGTTCTGAGAATGCTTCTGTCTAAATTTTCTATGAAGACATTCCCGTTTCCAACGAAATCCTCACAGCTATCCAAATATCCACTTGCAGATTCTACAAAAAGGGTGGTTCAAAACTGCTGTATCAAAAGAATGGATCAACACTGTTAGTTGAGTACCCACATCACAAACGTGATTCTCAGAATGCTTCTGTCTAGTTTCTACTATAGGTAGATATTTCCTTTTTCAGCATAGGCCTGAAAGCGCTCCAAATGCCCACTTCCAGACACTATAAAAAGGGGGTTTCAAACCTACTCTATGAAAGGGAATGTTCAACTCTGAGAGCTGGATGCAAACATCACAAAGAAGTTTCTGAGAATGCTGCTGTCTACTTTTGATATATAATCCCGTTTCCAACGAAATCCTCAAATCTAGCCAAATATCCACTTGCAGATTCCAAAAGAAGAGTGTCTCAAAACTGCTCTATCAATAGAAATGTTCAGCACAGTTAGTTGAGTAGATACAGCATAAACATGTTTCTGAGATTACTTCTATCTCGCATTCATGGGAAGATATTTCCTTTTTCCAGATAGGCTACAAAGCCCTCCAAATGTCCACTTCGAGATACTACAAATAGAGTGCTGCACAACTGCTCTATGTGAGGGGATGTTCAATTCTGTGACTTGAATGCAGACACCACAAAGAAGTTTCTCAGAATGCTGCTGTCTAATTTTTATATGTAAGCCCGTTTCCAACGAAATCCTCAAAGCTAACCAAATATCCGCATGCAGAATCTTCAAAAAGAGTGTTCCAGAAGTACTGCATGAAACCAAAGCTTCGAGTCCGTTAGTTGAGGACACGCATCACAAATAAGTTTCTCAGAATGCTTCTGTCTTGTTTTCATTGGAACATATTTCCCTTTTCACCATAGTTCAGAAAGCACTCCAAATGTCCACTTCCAGATACTCCAAAAAGAGTGTTTCAAACCTGCTCTATGAATGGGAATGTTCCACTCTGTGACTTTAATGGAAATATGGCAAAGTATTTTCTGAGTATGCTGCTGTGTACGTTTTATATTGCATCCCGTTTCCAACGAAATCCTCAAAGCGATCCAAATATCCACTTGCAGATTCCAAAAAAAGAGTGTTTCAAACTGCTCTGTCAGTACAAAGGTTCAACACTGTTAGTTGATTAGAGGCATCATAAACAAGTTCCTGAGATAGCTTCTATGTCGCTTTTATGGGAAGATATTTCCTTTTACACCATAGGCCTGAAAGCGCTCCAAATGTCCACTTCCAGATACTACAAAATGAGTGTTTCCAACCTGCTCTATGAAACGGAAGGTTCAACTCTGTGACTTGATTGCAAACATCACGAAGGTGTTTCTGAGGATGTTTCTGTCTAGATTTTCTTTGAAGACATTACCGTTTCCAACGAAATCCTCAAAGCTAGCCAAATATCCACCTGCAGATCCTACAAAAAGAGTGTTTCAAAAGTGCTCTGTCCAAACAAAGGTTCAATTCTGACAGTTGAGTGCACACATCACAAACGTGATTCTGCGAATGCTTCTGTCTAGTTTTTGTCGGAAGATATTTCCTTTTTCAGCATAGGCCCCAAGGAGCTCAAAATGTCCACTGCCAGATAGTACGAGAAGATTGTTTCAAACCTGCTCTGAGAAAGGGGAATGTTCAACTCTGTGACTTGAATGTACACATCCCTAAGATGTTTCTTAGAATGCTTCTGGCTAGATTTTACTTGAAGATATTCCCGTTTCCAACGAAATCCTCAAAGCTTTCCAACTATCCACTTACAGATTCTATAAAAAGAATGTTTCAAAACAGTTCTGTCAAAAGAAAGGTTCAACTCTGTTAGTGGAGAACACACATCACAATCCAGGTTCTGAGAATGCTTCTGTCTAAATTTTCTATGAAGACATTCCCGTTTCCAACGAAATCCTCACAGCTATCCAAATATCCACTTGCAGATTCTACAAAAAGGGTGGTTCAAAACTGCTGTATCAATAGAATGGATCAACACTGTTAGTTGAGTACCCACATCAAAAACGTGATTCTCAGAATGCTTCTGTCTAGTTTCTGTAGGTAGATATTTCCTTTTTCAGCATAGGCCTGAAAGGGCTCCAAATGCCCGCTTCCAGACACTATAAAAAGGGGGTTTCAAATCTACTCTATGAAAGGGAATGTTCAACTCTGAGAGCTGGATGCAAACATCACAAAGAAGTTTCTGAGAATGCTGCTGTCTACTTTTTATATATAATCCCGTTTCCAACGAAATCCTCAAATCTAGCCAAATATCCACTTGCAGATTCCAAAAGAAGAGTGTCTCAAAACTGCTCTATCAATAGAAATGTTCAGCACAGTTAGTTGAGTAGATACAGCATAAACATGTTTCTGAGATTACTTCTATCTCGCATTCATGGGAAGATATTTCCTTTTTCCAGATAGGCTACAAAGCCCTCCAAATGTCCACTTCGAGATACTACAAATAGAGTGCTGCACAACTGCTCTATGTGAGGGGATGTTCAATTATGTGACTTGAATGCAGACACCACAAAGAAGTTTCTGAGAATGCTGCTGTCTAATTTTTATATGTAAGCCCGTTTCCCACGAAATCCTCAAAGGTATCCAAATATCCGCATGCAGAATCTTCAAAAAGAGTGTTCCAGAAGTACTGCATGAAACGAAAGGTTTGAGTACGTTAGTTGAGGACACGCATCACAAATAAGTTTCTCAGAATGCTTCTGTCTTGTTTTCATTGGAAGATATTTCCTTTTTCACCATAGTTCAGAAAGCGCTCCAAATGTCCACTTCCAGATACTCCAAAAAGAGTGTTTCAAACCTGCTCTATGAATGGGAATGTTCCACTCTGTGACTTGAATGGAAATATGGCAAAGTATTTTCTGAGTATGCTGCTGTGTACGTTTGATATTCATCCCGTTTCCAACGAAATCCTCAAAGCGATCCAAATATCCACTTGCAGATTCCAAAAAAAGAGTGTTTCAAACTGCTCTGTCAGTACAAAGGTTCAACACTGTTAGTTGATTAGATGCATCATAAACAAGTTCCTGAGATAGCTTCTATGTCGCTTTTATGGGAAGATATTTCCTTTTACACCATAGGCCTGAAAGCGCTCCAAATGTCCACTTCCAGATACTACAAAATGAGTGTTTCCAACCTGCTCTATGAAACGGAAGGTTCAACTCTGTGACTTGATTGCAAACATCACGAAGGTGTTTCTGAGGATGTTTCTGTCTAGTATTTTCTTTGAAGACATTACCGTTTCCAACGAAATCCTCAAAGCTAGCCAAATATCCACCTGCAGATTCTACAAAAAGTGTGTTTCAAAAGTGCTCTCTCCAAACCAAGGTTCAATTCTGACAGTTGAGTGCACACATCACAAACGTGATTCTGCGAATGCTTCTGTCTAGTTTTTGTCGGAAGATATTTCCTTTTTCAGCATAGGCCCCAAGGAGCTCAAAATGTCCACTGCCAGATAGTACGAGAAGATTGTTTCAAACCTGCTCTGTGAAAGGGAATGTTCAACTCTGTGACTTGAATGTAAACATCCCTAAGATGTTTCTTAGAATGCTTCTGGCTAGATTTGATTTGAAGATATTCCCGTTTCCAACGAAATCCTCAAAGCTTTCCAAATATCCACTTCCAGATTCTATAAAAAGAATGTTTCAGAACAGTTCTGTCAAAAGAAAGGTTCAACTCTGTTAGTGGAGAACACACATCACAATCAAGGTTCTGAGAATGCTTCTGTCTAAATTTTCTATGAAGACATTCCCGTTTCCAACGAAATCCTCACAGCTATCCAAATATCCACTTGCAGATTCTACAAAAAGTGTGGTTCAAAACTGCTGTATCAAAAGAATGGATCAACACTGTTAGTTGAGTACCCACATCACAAACGTGATTCTCAGAATGCTTCCTGTCTAGTTTCTGTAGGTAGATATTTCCTATTTTAAGCATAGGCCTGAAAGCGCTACAAATGCCCGCTTCCAGACACTATAAAAAGAGGGTTTCAAACCTACTCTATGAAAGGGAATGTTCAACTCTGAGAGCTGGATGCAAACATCACAAAGAAGTTTCTGAGAATGCTGCTGTCTACTTTTTATATATAATCCCGTTTCCAACGAAATCCTCAAATCTATCCAAATATCCACTTGCAGATTCCAAAAGAAGAGTGTCTCAAAACTGCTCTATCAATAGAAATGTTCAGCACAGTTAGTTGAGTAGATACAGCATAAACATGTTTCTGAGATTACTTCTATCTCGCATTCATGGGAAGATATTTCCTTTTTCCAGATAGGCTACAAAGCCCTCCAAATGTCCACTTCCAGATACTACAAATAGAGTGCTGCACAACTGCTCTATGTGAGGGGAAGTTCAATTCTGTGACTTGAATGCAGACACCACAAAGAAGTTTCTGAGAATGCTGCTGTCTAATTTTTACATGTAAGCCCGTTTCCAACGAAATCCTCAAAGCTATCCAAATATCCGAATGCAGAATCTTCAAAAAGAGTGTTCCAGAAGTACTGCATGAAACGAAAGGTTCAAGTCCGTTTGTTGAGGACACACATCACAAATAAGTTTCTCAGAATGCTTCTGTGTTGTTTTCATTGGAAGATATTTCCTTTTTCACCATAGTTCAGAAAGCGCTCCAAATGTCCACTTCCAGATACTCCAAAAAGAGTGTTTCAAACCTGCTCTATGAATGGGAATGTTCCACTCTGTGACTTGAATGGAAATATGGCAAAGTATTTTCTGAGTATGCTGCTGTGTACGTTTTATATTGCATCCCGTTTCCAACGAAATCCTCAAAGCGATCCAAATATCCACTTGCAGATTCCAAAAAAAGAGTGTTTCAAACTGCTCTGTCAGTACAAAGGTTCAACACTGTTAGTTGATTAGATGCATCATAAACAAGTTCCTGAGATAGCTTCTATGTCGTTTTTATGGGAAGATATTTCCTTTTTCACCATAGGCCTGAAAGCGCTCCAAATGTCCACTTCCAGATACTACAATAAGAGTGTTTCCAACCTGCTCTATGAAACGGAAGGTTCAACTCTGTGACTTGATTGCAAACATCACGAAGGTGTTTCTGAGAATGCTTCTGTCTAGATTTTCTTTGAAGACATTCCCGTTTCCAACGAAATCCTCACAGCTATCCAAATATCCTCTTGCAGATTCTACAAAAAGTGTGGTTCAAAACTGCTGTATCAAAAGAATGGATCAACACTGTTAGTTGAGTACCCACATCACAAACGTGATTCTCAGAATGCTTCTGTCTAGTTTCTGTAGGTAGATATTTCCTATTTTAAGCATAGGCCTGAAAGCGCTCCAAATGCCCGCTTCCAGACACTATAAAAAGAGGGTTTCAAACCTACTCTATGAAAGGGAATGTTCAACTCTGAGAGCTGGATGCAAACATCACAAAGAAGTTTCTGAGAATGCTGCTGTCTACTTTTTATATATAATCCCGTTTCCAACGAAATCCTCAAATCTATCCAAATATCCACTTGCAGATTCCAAAAGAAGAGGGTCTCAAAACTGCTCTATCAATAGAAATGTTCAGCACAGTTAGTTGAGTAGATACAGCATAAACATGTTTCTCAGATTACTTCTATCTCGCATTCATGGGAAGATATTTCCTTTTTCCAGATAGGCTACAAAGCCCTCCAAATGTCCACTTCCAGATACTACAAATAGAGTGCTGCACAACTGCTCTATGTGAGGGGAAGTTCAATTCTGTGACTTGAATGCAGACACCACAAAGAAGTTTCTGAGAATGCTGCTGTCTAATTTTTACATGTAAGCCCGTTTCCAACGAAATCCTCAAAGCTATCCAAATATCCGCATGCAGAATCTTCAAAAAGAGTGTTCCAGAAGTACTGCATGAAACGAAAGGTTCAAGTCCGTTTGTTGAGGACACACATCACAAATAAGTTTCTCAGAATGCTTCTGTCTTGTTTTCATTGGAAGATATTTCCTTTTTCACCATAGTTCAGAAAGCGCTCCAAATGTCCACTTCCAGATACTCCAAAAAGAGTGTTTCAAACCTGCTCTATGAATGGGAATGTTCCACTCTGTGACTTGAATGGAAATATGGCAAAGTATTTTCTGAGTATGCTGCTGTGTACAGTTTTATATTGCATCCCGTTTCCAACGAAATCCTCAAAGCGATCCAAATATCCACTTGCAGATTCCAAAAAAAGAGTGTTTCAAACTGCTCTGTCAGTACAAAGGTTCAACACTGTTAGTTGATTAGATGCATCATAAACAAGTTCCTGAGATAGCTTCTATGTCGTTTTTATGGGAAGATATTTCCTTTTTCACCATAGGCCTGAAAGCGCTCCAAATGTCCACTTCCAGATACTACAATAAGAGTGTTTCCAACCTGCTCTATGAAACGGAAGGTTCAACTCTGTGACTTGATTGCAAACATCACGAAGGTGTTTCTGAGAATGCTTCTGTCTAGATTTTCTTTGAAGACTTTCCCGTTTCCAACGAAATCCTCACAGCTATCCAAATATCCTCTTGCAGATTCTACAAAAAGTGTGGTTCAAAACTGCTGTATCAAAAGAATGGATCAACACTGTTAGTTGAGTACCCACATCACAAACGTGATTCTCAGAATGCTTCTGTCTAGTTTCTGTAGGTAGATATTTCCTATTTTAAGCATAGGCCTGAAAGCGCTCCAAATGCCCACTTCCAGACACTATAAAAAGAGGGTTTCAAACCTACTCTATGAAAGGGAATGTTCAACTCTGAGAGCTGGATGCAAACATCACAAAGAAGTTTCTGAGAATGCTGCTGTCTACTTTTTATATATAATCCCGTTTCCAACGAAATCCTCAAATCTATCCAAATATCCACTTGCAGATTCCAAAAGAAGAGTGTCTCAAAACTGCTCTATCAATAGAAATGTTCAGCACAGTTAGTTGAGTAGATACAGCATAAACATGTTTCTGAGATTACTTCTATCTCGCATTCATGGGAAGATATTTCCTTTTTCCAGATAGGCTACAAAGCCCTCCAAATGTCCACTTCCAGATACTACAAATAGAGTGCTGCACAACTGCTCTATGTGAGGGGAAGTTCAATTCTGTGACTTGAATGCAGACACCACAAAGAAGTTTCTGAGAATGCTGCTGTCTAATTTTTACATGTAAGCCCGTTTCCAACGAAATCCTCAAAGCTATCCAAATATCCGCATGCAGAATCTTCAAAAAGAGTGTTCCAGAAGTACTGCATGAAACGAAAGGTTCAAGTCCGTTTGTTGAGGACACACATCACAAATAAGTTTCTCAGAATGCTTCTGTCTTGTTTTCATTGGAAGATATTTCCTTTTTCACCATAGTTCAGAAAGCGCTCCAAATGTCCACTTCCAGATACTCCAAAAAGAGTGTTTCCAACCTGCTCTATGAATGGGAATGTTCCACTCTGTGACTTGAATGGAAATATGGCAAAGTATTTTCTGAGTATGCTGCTGTGTACGTTTTATATTGCATCCCGTTTCCAACGAAATCCTCAAAGCGATCCAAATATCCACTTGCAGATTCCAAAAAAAGAGTGTTTCAAAGTGCTCTGTCAGTACAAAGGTTCAACACTGTTAGTTGATTAGATGCATCATAAACAAGTTCCTGAGATAGCTTCTATGTCGTTTTTATGGGAAGATATTTCCTTTTTCACCATAGGCCTGAAAGCGCTCCAAATGTCCACTTCCAGATACTACAAAAAGAGTGTTTCCAACCTGCTCTATGAAACGGAAGGTTCAACTCTGTGACTTGATTGCAAACATCACGAAGGTGTTTCTGAGAATGCTTCTGTCTAGATTTTCTTTGAAGACATTACCGTTTCCAACGAAATCCTCACAGCTATCCAAATATCCACCTGCAGATTCTACAAAAAGAGTGTTTCAAAAGTGCTCTGTCCAAACCAAGGTTCAATTCTGACAGTTGAGTGCACACATCACAAACGTGATTCTGCGAATGCTTCTGTCTAGTTTTTGTCGGAAGATATTTCCTTTTTCAGCATAGGCCCCAAGGAGCTCAAAATGTCCACTGCCAGATAGTACGAGAAGATTGTTTCAAACCTGCTCTGTGAAAGGGAATGTTCAACTCTGTGACTTGAATGTAAACATCCCTAAGATGTTTCTTAGAATGCTTCTGGCTAGATTTGATTTGAAGATATTCCCGTTTCCAACGAAATCCTCAAAGCTTTCCAAATATCCACTTCCAGATTCTATAAAAAGAATGTTTCAGAACAGTTCTGTCAAAAGAAAGGTTCAACTCTGTTAGTGGAGAACACACATCACAATCAAGGTTCTGAGAATGCTTCTGTCTAAATTTTCTATGAAGACATTCCCGTTTCCAACGAAATCCTCACAGCTATCCAAATATCCACTTGCAGATTCTACAAAAAGTGTGGTTCAAAACTGCTGTATCAAAAGAATGGATCAACACTGTTAGTTGAGTACCCACATCACAAACGTGATTCTCAGAATGCTTCTGTCTAGTTTCTATAGGTAGATATTTCCTTTTTCAGCATAGGCCTGAAAGCGCTCCAAATGCCCGCTTCCAGACACTATAAAAAGAGGGTTTCAAACCTACTCTATGAAAGGGAATGTTCAACTCTGAGAGCTGGATGCAAACATCACAAAGAAGTTTCTGAGAATGCTGCTGTCTACTTTTTATATATAATCCCGTTTCCAACGAAATCCTCAAATCTATCCAAATATCCACTTGCAGATTCCAAAAGAAGAGTGTCTCAAAACTGCTCTATCAATAGAAATGTTCAGCACAGTTAGTTGAGTAGATACAGCATAAACATGTTTCTGAGATTACTTCTATCTCGCATTCATGGGAAGATATTTCCTTTTTCCAGATAGGCTACAAAGCCCTCCAAATGTCCACTTCCAGATACTACAAATAGAGTGCTGCACAACTGCTCTATGTGAGGGGAAGTTCAATTCTGTGACTTGAATGCAGACACCACAAAGAAGTTTCTGAGAATGCTGCTGTCTAATTTTTACATGTAAGCCCGTTTCCAACGAAATCCTCAAAGCTATCCAAATATCCGCATGCAGAATCTTCAAAAAGAGTGTTCCAGAAGTACTGCATGAAACGAAAGGTTCAAGTCCGTTTGTTGAGGACACACATCACAAATAAGTTTCTCAGAATGCTTCTGTGTTGTTTTCATTGGAAGATATTTCCTTTTTCACCATAGTTCAGAAAGCGCTCCAAATGTCCACTTCCAGATACTCCAAAAAGAGTGTTTCAAACCTGCTCTATGAATGGGAATGTTCCACTCTGTGACTTGAATGGAAATATGGCAAAGTATTTTCTGAGTATGCTGCTGTGTACGTTTTATATTGCATCCCGTTTCCAACGAAATCCTCAAAGCGATCCAAATATCCACTTGCAGATTCCAAAAAAAGAGTGTTTCAAACTGCTCTGTCAGTACAAAGGTTCAACACTGTTAGTTGATTAGATGCATCATAAACAAGTTCCTGAGATAGCTTCTATGTCGTTTTTATGGGAAGATATTTCCTTTTTCACCATAGGCCTGAAAGCGCTCCAAATGTCCACTTCCAGATACTACAATAAGAGTGTTTCCAACCTGCTCTATGAAACGGAAGGTTCAACTCTGTGACTTGATTGCAAACATCACGAAGGTGTTTCTGAGAATGCTTCTGTCTAGATTTTCTTTGAAGACATTCCCGTTTCCAACGAAATCCTCACAGCTATCCAAATATCCTCTTGCAGATTCTACAAAAAGTGTGGTTCAAAACTGCTGTATCAAAAGAATGGATCAACACTGTTAGTTGAGTACCCACATCACAAACGTGATTCTCAGAATGCTTCTGTCTAGTTTCTGTAGGTAGATATTTCCTATTTTAAGCATAGGCCTGAAAGCGCTCCAAATGCCCGCTTCTAGACACTATAAAAAGAGGGTTTCAAACCTACTCTATGAAAGGGAATGTTCAACTCTGAGAGCTGGATGCAAACATCACAAAGAAGTTTCTGAGAATGCTGCTGTCTACTTTTTATATATAATCCCGTTTCCAACGAAATCCTCAAATCTATCCAAATATCCACTTGCAGATTTCAAAAGAAGAGTGTCTCAAAACTGCTCTATCAATAGAAATGTTCAGCACAGTTAGTTGAGTAGATACAGCATAAACATGTTTCTGAGATTACTTCTATCTCGCATTCATGGGAAGATATTTCCTTTTTCCAGATAGGCTACAAAGCCCTCCAAATGTCCACTTCCAGATACTACAAATAGAGTGCTGCACAACTGCTCTATGTGAGGGGAAGTTCAATTCTGTGACTTGAATGCAGACACCACAAAGAAGTTTCTGAGAATGCTGCTGTCTAATTTTTACATGTAAGCCCGTTTCCAAAGAAATCCTCAAAGCTATCCAAATATCCGCATGCAGAATCTTCAAAAAGAGTGTTCCAGAAGTACTGCATGAAACGAAAGGTTCAAGTCCGTTTGTTGAGGACACACATCACAAATAAGTTTCTCAGAATGCTTCTGTCTTGTTTTCATTGGAAGATATTTCCTTTTTCACCATAGTTCAGAAAGCGCTCCAAATGTCCACTTCCAGATACTCCAAAAAGAGTGTTTCAAACCTGCTCTATGAATGGGAATGTTCCACTCTCTGACTTGAATGGAAATATGGCAAAGTATTTTCTGAGTATGCTGCTGTGTACGTTTTATATTGCATCCCGTTTCCAACGAAATCCTCAAAGCGATCCAAATATCCACTTGCAGATTCCAAAAAAAGAGTGTTTCAAACTGCTCTGTCAGTACAAAGGTTCAACACTGTTAGTTGATTAGATGCATCATAAACAAGTTCCTGAGATAGCTTCTATGTCGTTTTTATGGGAAGATATTTCCTTTTTCACCATAGGCCTGAAAGCGCTCCAAATGTCCACTTCCAGATACTACAATAAGAGTGTTTCCAACCTGCTCTATGAAACGGAAGGTTCAACTCTGTGACTTGATTGCAAACATCACGAAGGTGTTTCTGAGAATGCTTCTGTCTAGATTTTCTTTGAAGACATTCCCGTTTCCAACGAAATCCTCACAGCTATCCAAATATCCTCTTGCAGATTCTACAAAAAGTGTGGTTCAAAACTGCTGTATCAAAAGAATGGATCAACACTGTTAGTTGAGTACCCACATCACAAACGTGATTCTCAGAATGCTTCTGTCTAGTTTCTGTAGGTAGATATTTCCTATTTTAAGCATAGGCCTGAAAGCGCTCCAAATGCCCGCTTCCAGACACTATAAAAAGAGGGTTTCAAACCTACTCTATGAAAGGGAATGTTCAACTCTGAGAGCTGGATGCAAACATCACAAAGAAGTTTCTGAGAATGCTGCTGTCTACTTTTTATATATAATCCCGTTTCCAACGAAATCCTCAAATCTATCCAAATATCCACTTGCAGATTCCAAAAGAAGAGTGTCTCAAAACTGCTCTATCAATAGAAATGTTCAGCACAGTTAGTTGAGTAGATACAGCATAAACATGTTTCTGAGATTACTTCTATCTCGCATTCATGGGAAGATATTTCCTTTTTCCACATAGGCTACAAAGCCCTCCAAATGTCCACTTCCAGATACTACAAAAAGAGTGTTTCCAACCTGCTCTATGAAACGGAAGGTTCAACTCTGTGACTTGATTGCAAACATCACGAAGGTGTTTCTGAGAATGCTTCTGTCTAGATTTTCTTTGAAGACATTACCGTTTCCAACGAAATCCTCAAAGCTAGCCAAATATCCACCTGCAGATTCTACAAAAAGAGTGTTTCAAAAGTGCTCTGTCCAAACCAAGGTTCAATTCTGACAGTTGAGTGCACACATCACAAACGTGATTCTGCGAATGCTTCTGTCTAGTTTTTGTCGGAAGATATTTCCTTTTTCAGCATAGGCCCCAAGGAGCTCAAAATGTCCACTGCCAGATAGTACGAGAAGATTGTTTCAAACCTGCTCTGTGAAAGGGAATGTTCAACTCTGTGACTTGAATGTAAACATCCCTAAGATGTTTCTTAGAATGCTTCTGGCTAGATTTGATTTGAAGATATTCCCGTTTCCAACGAAATCCTCAAAGCTTTCCAAATATCCACTTCCAGATTCTATAAAAAGAATGTTTCAGAACAGTTCTGTCAAAAGAAAGTTTCAACTCTGTTAGTGGAGAACACACATCACAATCAAGGTTCTGAGAATGCTTCTGTCTAAATTTTCTATGAAGACATTCCCGTTTCCAACGAAATCCTCACAGCTATCCAAATATCCACTTGCAGATTCTACAAAAAGTGTGGTTCAAAACTGCTGTATCAAAAGAATGGATCAACACTGTTAGTTGAGTACCCACATCACAAACGTGATTCTCAGAATGCTTCTGTCTAGTTTCTATAGGTAGATATTTCCTTTTTCAGCATAGGCCTGAAAGCGCTCCAAATGCCCGCTTCCAGACACTATAAAAAGAGGGTTTCAAACCTACTCTATGAAAGGGAATGTTCAACTCTGAGAGCTGGATGCAAACATCACAAAGAAGTTTCTGAGAATGCTGCTGTCTACTTTTGATATATAATCCCGTTTCCAACGAAATCCTCAAATCTATCCAAATATCCACTTGCAGATTCCAAAAGAAGAGTGTCTCAAAACTGCTCTATCAATAGAAATGTTCAGCACAGTTAGTTGAGTAGATACAGCATAAACATGTTTCTGAGATTACTTCTATCTCGCATTCATGGGAAGATATTTCCTTTTTCCAGATAGGCTACAAAGCCCTCCAAATGTCCACTTCCAGATACTACAAAGAGTGTTTCCAACCTGCTCTATGAAACGGAAGGTTCAACTCTGTGACTTGATTGCAAACATCACGAAGGTGTTTCTGAGAATGCTTCTGTCTAGATTTTCTTTGAAGACATTACCGTTTCCAACGAAATCCTCAAAGCTAGCCAAATATCCACCTGCAGATTCTACAAAAAGAGTGTTTCAAAAGTGCTCTGTCCAAACCAAGGTTCAATTCTGACAGTTGAGTGCACACATCACAAACGTGATTCTGCGAATGCTTCTGTCTAGTTTTTGTCGGAAGATATTTCCTTTTTCAGCATAGGCCCCAAGGAGCTCAAAATGTCCACTGCCAGATAGTACGAGAAGATTGTTTCAAACCTGCTCTGTGAAAGGGAATGTTCAACTCTGTGACTTGAATGTAAACATCCCTAAGATGTTTCTTAGAATGCTTCTGGCTAGATTTGATTTGAAGATATTCCCGTTTCCAACGAAATCCTCAAAGCTTTCCAAATATCCACTTCCAGATTCTATAAAAAGAATGTTTCAGAACAGTTCTGTCAAAAGAAAGGTTCAACTCTGTTAGTGGAGAACACACATCACAATCAAGGTTCTGAGAATGCTTCTGTCTAAATTTTCTATGAAGACATTCCCGTTTCCAACGAAATCCTCACAGCTATCCAAATATCCACTTGCAGATTCTACAAAAAGTGTGGTTCAAAACTGCTGTATCAAAAGAATGGATCAACACTGTTAGTTGAGTACCCACATCACAAACGTGATTCTCAGAATGCTTCTGTCTAGTTTCTATAGGTAGATATTTCCTTTTTCAGCATAGGCCTGAAAGCGCTCCAAATGCCCGCTTCCAGACACTATAAAAAGAGGGTTTCAAACCTACTCTATGAAAGGGAATGTTCAACTCTGAGAGCTGGATGCAAACATCACAAAGAAGTTTCTGAGAATGCTGCTGTCTACTTTTTATATATAATCCCGTTTCCAACGAAATCCTCAAATCTATCCAAATATCCACTTGCAGATTCCAAAAGAAGAGTGTCTCAAAACTGCTCTATCAATAGAAATGTTCAGCACAGTTAGTTGAGTAGATACAGCATAAACATGTTTCTGAGATTACTTCTATCTCGCATTCATGGGAAGATATTTCCTTTTTCCACATAGGCTACAAAGCCCTCCAAATGTCCACTTCCAGATACTACAAATAGAGTGCTGCACAACTGCTCTATGTGAGGGGATGTTCAATTCTGTGACTTGAATGCAGACACCACAAAGAAGTTTCTGAGAATGCTGCTGTCTAATTTTTACATGTAAGCCCGTTTCCAACGAAATCCTCAAAGCTATCCAAATATCCGCATGCAGAATCTTCAAAAAGAGTGTTCCAGAAGTACTGCATGAAACGAAAGGTTCAAGTCCGTTTGTTGAGGACACACATCACAAATAAGTTTCTCAGAATGCTTCTGTGTTGTTTTCATTGGAAGATATTTCCTTTTTCACCATAGTTCAGAAAGCGCTCCAAATGTCCACTTCCAGATACTCCAAAAAGAGTGTTTCCAACCTGCTCTATGAATGGGAATGTTCCACTCTGTGACTTGAATGGAAATATGGCAAAGTATTTTCTGAGTATGCTGCTGTGTACGTTTTATATTGCATCCCGTTTCCAACGAAATCCTCAAAGCGATCCAAATATCCACTTGCAGATTCCAAAAAAAGAGTGTTTCAAACTGCTCTGTCAGTACAAAGGTTCAACACTGTTAGTTGATTAGATGCCTCATAAACAAGTTCCTGAGATAGCTTCTATGTCGTTTTTATGGGAAGATATTTCCTTTTTCACCATAGGCCTGAAAGCGCTCCAAATGTCCACTTCCAGATACTACAATAAGAGTGTTTCCAACCTGCTCTATGAAACGGAAGGTTCAACTCTGTGACTTGATTGCAAACATCACGAAGGTGTTTCTGAGAATGTTTCTGTCTAGATTTTCTTTGAAGACATTCCCGTTTCCAACGAAATCCTCACAGCTATCCAAATATCCTCTTGCAGATTCTACAAAAAGTGTGGTTCAAAACTGCTGTATCAAAAGAATGGATCAACACTGTTAGTTGAGTACCCACATCACAAACGAGATTCTCAGAATGCTTCTGTCTAGTTTCTGTAGGTAGATATTTCCTATTTTAAGCATAGGCCTGAAAGCGCTCCAAATGCCCGCTTCCAGACACTATAAAAAGAGGGTTTCAAACCTACTCTATGAAAGGGAATGTTCAACTCTGAGAGCTGGATGCAAACATCACAAAGAAGTTTCTGAGAATGCTGCTGTCTACTTTTTATATATAATCCCGTTTCCAACGAAATCCTCAAATCTCTCCAAATATCCACTTGCAGATTCCAAAAGAAGAGTGTCTCAAAACTGCTCTATCAATAGAAATGTTCAGCACAGTTAGTTGAGTAGATACAGCATAAACATGTTTCTGAGATTACTTCTATCTCGCATTCATGGGAAGATATTTCCTTTTTCCACATAGGCTACAAAGCCCTCCAAATGTCCACTTCCAGATACTACAAAAAGAGTGTTTCCAACCTGCTCTATGAAACGGAAGGTTCAACTCTGTGACTTGATTGCAAACATCACGAAGGTGTTTCTGAGAATGCTTCTGTCTAGATTTTCTTTGAAGACATTACCGTTTCCAACGAAATCCTCAAAGCTAGCCAAATATCCACCTGCAGATTCTACAAAAAGAGTGTTTCAAAAGTGCTCTGTCCAAACCAAGGTTCAATTCTGACAGTTGAGTGCACACATCACAAACGTGATTCTGCGAATGCTTCTGTCTAGTTTTTGTCGGAAGATATTTCCTTTTTCAGCATAGGCCCCAAGGAGCTCAAAATGTCCACTGCCAGATAGTACGAGAAGATTGTTTCAAACCTGCTCTGTGAAAGGGAATGTTCAACTCTGTGACTTGAATGTAAACATCCCTAAGATGTTTCTTAGAATGCTTCTGGCTAGATTTGATTTGAAGATATTCCCGTTTCCAACGAAATCCTCAAAGCTTTCCAAATATCCACTTCCAGATTCTATAAAAAGAATGTTTCAGAACAGTTCTGTCAAAAGAAAGGTTCAACTCTGTTAGTGGAGAACACACATCACAATCAAGGTTCTGAGAATGCTTCTGTCTAAATTTTCTATGAAGACATTCCCGTTTCCAACGAAATCCTCACAGCTATCCAAATATCCACTTGCAGATTCTACAAAAAGTGTGGTTCAAAACTGCTGTATCAAAAGAATGGATCAACACTGTTAGTTGAGTACCCACATCACAAACGTGATTCTCAGAATGCTTCTGTCTAGTTTCTATAGGTAGATATTTCCTTTTTCAGCATAGGCCTGAAAGCGCTCCAAATGCCCGCTTCCAGACACTATAAAAAGAGGGTTTCAAACCTACTCTATGAAAGGGAATGTTCAACTCTGAGAGCTGGATGCAAACATCACAAAGAAGTTTCTGAGAATGCTGCTGTCTACTTTTGATATATAATCCCGTTTCCAACGAAATCCTCAAATCTATCCAAATATCCACTTGCAGATTCCAAAAGAAGAGTGTCTCAAAACTGCTCTATCAATAGAAATGTTCAGCACAGTTAGTTGAGTAGATACAGCATAAACATGTTTCTGAGATTACTTCTATCTCGCATTCATGGGAAGATATTTCCTTTTTCCAGATAGGCTACAAAGCCCTCCAAATGTCCACTTCCAGATACTACAAATAGAGTGCTGCACAACTGCTCTATGTGAGGGGATGTTCAATTCTGTGACTTGAATGCAGACACCACAAAGAAGTTTCTGAGAATGCTGCTGTCTAATTTTTACATGTAAGCCCGTTTCCAACGAAATCCTCAAAGCTATCCAAATATCCGCATGCAGAATCTTCAAAAAGAGTGTTCCAGAAGTACTGCATGAAACGAAAGGTTCAAGTCCGTTTGTTGAGGACACACATCACAAATAAGTTTCTCAGAATGCTTCTGTCTTGTTTTCATTGGAAGATATTTCCTTTTTCACCATAGTTCAGAAAGCGCTCCAAATGTCCACTTCCAGATACTCCAAAAAGAGTGTTTCCAACCTGCTCTATGAATGGGAATGTTCCACTCTGTGACTTGAATGGAAATATGGCAAAGTATTTTCTGAGTATGCTGCTGTGTACGTTTTATATTGCATCCCGTTTCCAACGAAATCCTCAAAGCGATCCAAATATCCACTTGCAGATTCCAAAAAAAGAGTGTTTCAAACTGCTCTGTCAGTACAAAGGTTCAACACTGTTAGTTGAGTAGATGCATCATAAACAAGTTCCTGAGATAGCTTCTATGTCGTTTTTATGGGAAGATATTTCCTTTTTCACCATAGGCCTGAAAGCGCTCCAAATGTCCACTTCCAGATACTACAATAAGAGTGTTTCCAACCTACTCTATGAAACGGAAGGTTCAACTCTGTGACTTGATTGCAAACATCACGAAGGTGTTTCTGAGAATGCTTCTGTCTAGATTTTCTTTGAAGACATTCCCGTTTCCAACGAAATCCTCACAGCTATCCAAATATCCTCTTGCAGATTCTACAAAAAGTGTGGTTCAAAACTGCTGTATCAAAAGAATGGATCAACACTGTTAGTTGAGTACCCACATCACAAACGTGATTCTCAGAATGCTTCTGTCTAGTTTCTGTAGGTAGATATTTCCTATTTTAAGCATAGGCCTGAAAGCGCTCCAAATGCCCGCTTCCAGACACTATAAAAAGAGGGTTTCAAACCTACTCTATGAAAGGGAATGCTCAACTCTGAGAGCTGGATGCAAACATCACAAAGAAGTTTCTGAGAATGCTGCTGTCTACTTTTTGTATATAATCCCGTTTCCAACGAAATCCTCAAATCTATCCAAATATCCACTTGCAGATTCCAAAAGAAGAGTGTCTCAAAACTGCTCTATCAATAGAAATGTTCAGCACAGTTAGTTGAGTAGATACAGCATAAACATGTTTCTGAGATTACTTCTATCTCGCATTCATGGGAAGATATTTCCTTTTTCCAGATAGGCTACAAAGCCCTCCAAATGTCCACTTCCAGATACTACAAAAAGAGTGTTTCCAACCTGCTCTATGAAACGGAAGGTTCAACTCTGTGACTTGATTGCAAACATCACGAAGGTGTTTCTGAGAATGCTTCTGTCTAGATTTTCTTTGAAGACATTACCGTTTCCAACGAAATCCTCAAAGCTAGCCAAATATCCACCTGCATATTCTACAAAAAGAGTGTTTCAAAAGTGCTCTGTCCAAACCAAGGTTCAATTCTGACAGTTGAGTGCACACATCACAAACGTGATTCTGCGAATGCTTCTGTCTAGTTTTTGTCGGAAGATATTTCCTTTTTCAGCATAGGCCCCAAGGAGCTCAAAATGTCCACTGCCAGATAGTACGAGAAGATTGTTTCAAACCTGCTCTGTGAAAGGGAATGTTCAACTCTGTGACTTGAATGTAAACATCCCTAAGATGTTTCTTAGAATGCTTCTGGCTAGATTTGATTTGAAGATATTCCCGTTTCCAACGAAATCCTCAAAGCTTTCCAAATATCCACTTCCAGATTCTATAAAAAGAATGTTTCAGAACAGTTCTGTCAAAAGAAAGGTTCAACTCTGTTAGTGGAGAACACACATCACAATCAAGGTTCTGAGAATGCTTCTGTCTAAATTTTCTATGAAGACATTCCCGTTTCCAACGAAATCCTCACAGCTATCCAAATATCCACTTGCAGATTCTACAAAAAGTGTGGTTCAAAACTGCTGTATCAAAAGAATGGATCAACACTGTTAGTTGAGTACCCACATCACAAACGTGATTCTCAGAATGCTTCTGTCTAGTTTCTATAGGTAGATATTTCCTTTTTCAGCACAGGCCTGAAAGCGCTCCAAATGCCCGCTTCCAGACACTATAAAAAGAGGGTTTCAAACCTACTCTATGAAAGGGAATGTTCAACTCTGAGAGCTGGATGCAAACATCACAAAGAAGTTTCTGAGAATGCTGCTGTCTACTTTTTATATATAATCCCGTTTCCAACGAAATCCTCAAATCTATCCAAATATCCACTTGCAGATTCCAAAAGAAGAGTGTCTCAAAACTGCTCTATCAATAGAAATGTTCAGCACAGTTAGTTGAGTAGATACAGCATAAACATGTTTCTGAGATTACTTCTATCTCGCATTCATGGGAAGATATTTCCTTTTTCCAGATAGGCTACAAAGCCCTCCAAATGTCCACTTCCAGATACTACAAATAGAGTGCTGCACAACTGCTCTATGTGAGGGGAAGTTCAATTCTGTGACTTGAATGCAGACACCACAAAGAAGTTTCTGAGAATGCTGCTGTCTAATTTTTACATGTAAGCCCGTTTCCAACGAAATCCTCAAAGCTATCCAAATATCCGCATGCAGAATCTTCAAAAAGAGTGTTCCAGAAGTACTGCATGAAACGAAAGGTTCAAGTCCGTTTGTTGAGGACACACATCACAAATAAGTTTCTCAGAATGCTTCTGTCTTGTTTTCATTGGAAGATATTTCCTTTTCCACCATAGTTCAGAAAGCGCTCCAAATGTCCACTTCCAGATACTCCAAAAAGAGTGTTTCCAACCTGCTCTATGAATGGGAATGTTCCACTCTGTGACTTGAATGGAAATATGGCAAAGTATTTTCTGAGTATGCTGCTGTGTGCGATTTATATTGCATCCCGTTTCCAACGAAATCCTCAAAGCGATCCAAATATCCACTTGCAGATTCCAAAAAAAGAGTGTTTCATACTGCTCTGTCAGTACAAAGGTTCAACACTGTTAGTTGATTAGATGCATCATAAACAAGTTCCTGAGATAGCTTCTATGTCGCTTTTATGGGAAGATATTTCCTTTTACACCATAGGCCTGAAAGCGCTCCAAATGTCCACTTCCAGATACTACAATAAGAGTGTTTCCAACCTGCTCTATGAAACGGAAGGTTCAACTCTGTGACTTGATTGCAAACATCACGAAGGTGTTTCTGAGGATGTTTCTGTCTAGATTTTCTTCGAAGACATTACCGTTTCCAAAGAAATCCTCAAAGCTAGCCAAATATCCACCTGCAGATTCTACAAAGAGAGTTTCAAAAGTGCTCTGTCCAAACAAAGGTTCAATTCTGACAGTTGAGTGCACACATCACAAACGTGATTCTGCGAATGCTTCTGTCTAGTTTTTGTCGGAAGATATTTCCTTTTTCAGCATAGGCCCCAAGGAGCTCAAAATGTCCACTGCCAGATAGTACGAGAAGATTGTTTCAAACCTGCTGCTGTGAAAGGGAATGTTCAACTCTGTGACTTGAATGTAAACATCCCTAAGATGTTTCTTAGAATGCTTCTGGCTAGATTTGATTTGAAGATATTCCCGTTTCCAACGAAATCCTCAAAGCTTTCCAAATATCCACTTCCAGATTCTATAAAAAGAATGTTTCAGAACAGTTCTGTCAAAAGAAAGGTTCAACTCTGTTAGTGGAGAACACACATCACAATCAAGGTTCTGAGAATGCTTTCCTGTCTAAATTTTCTATGAAGACATTCCCGTTTCCAACGAAATCCTCACAGCTATCCAAGTATCCACTTGCAGATTCTACAAAAAGTGTGGTTCAAAACTGCTGTATCAAAAGAATGGATCAACACTGTTAGTTGAGTACCCACATCACCAACGTGATTCTCAGAATGCTTCTGTCTAGTTTCTGTAGGTAGATATTTCCTATTTTAAGCATAGGCCTGAAAGCGCTCCAAATGCCCGCTTCCAGACACTATAAAAAGAGGGTTTCAAACCTACTCTATGAAAGGGAATGTTCAACTCTGAGAGCTGGATGCAAACATCACAAAGAAGTTTCTGAGAATGCTGCTGTCTACTTTTTATATATAATCCCGTTTCCAACGAAATCCTCAAATCTATCCAAATATCCACTTGCAGATTCCAAAAGAAGAGTGTCTCAAAACTGCTCTATCAATAGAAATGTTCAGCACAGTTAGTTGAGTAGATACAGCATAAACATGTTTCTCAGATTACTTCTATCTCGCATTCATGGGAAGATAATTCCTTTTTCCAGATAGGCTACAAAGCCCACCAAATGTCCACTTCCAGATACTACAAATAGAGTGCTGCACAACTGCTCTATGTGAGGGGAAGTTCAATTCTGTGACTTGAATGCAGACACCACAAAGAAGTTTCTGAGAATGCTGTTGTCTAATTTTTACATGTAAGACCGTTTCCAACGAAATCCTCAAAGCTATCCAAATATCCGCATGCAGAATCTTCAAAAAGAGTGTTCCAGAAGTACTGCATGAAACGAAAGTTTCAAGTCCGTTTGTTGAGGACACACATCACAAATAAGTTTCTCAGAATGCTTCTGTCTTGTTTTCATTGGAAGATATTTCCTTTTTCACCATAGTTCAGAAAGCGCTCCAAATGTCCACTTCCAGATACTCCAAAAAGAGTGTTTTCAACCTGCTCTATGAATGGGAATGTTCCACTCTGTGACTTGAATGGAAATATGGCAAAGTATTTTCTGAGTATGCTGCTGTGTACGTTTTATATTGCATCCCGTTTCCAACGAAATCCTCAAAGCGATCCAAATATCCACTTGCAGATTCCAAAAAAAGAGTGTTTCAAACTGCTCTGTTAGTACAAAGGTTCAACACTGTTAGTTGATTAGATGCATCATAAACAAGTTCCTGAGATAGCTTCTATGTCGTTTTTATGGGAAGATATTTCCTTTTTCACCATAGGCCTGAAAGCGCTCCAAATGTCCACTTCCAGATACTACAATAAGAGTGTTTCCAACCTGCTCTATGAAACGGAAGGTTCAACTCTGTGACTTGATTGCAAACATCACGAAGGTGTTTCTGAGAATGCTTCTGTCTAAATTTTCTATGAAGGCATTCCCGTTTCCAAGGAAATCCTCACAGCTATCCAAATATCCACTTGCAGATTCTACAAAAAGTGTGGTTCAAAACTGCTGTATCAAAAGAATGGATCAACACTGTTAGTTTGAGTACCCACATCACAAACGTGATTCTCAGAATGCTTCTGTCTAGTTTCTGTAGGTAGATATTTCCTATTTTAAGCATAGGCCTGAAAGCGCTCCAAATGCCCGCTTCCAGACACTATAAAAAGAGGGTTTCAAACCTACTCTATGAAAGGGAATGTTCAACTCTGAGAGCTGGATGCAAACATCACAAAGAAGTTTCTGAGAATGCTGCTGTCTACTTTTTATATATAATCCCGTTTCCAACGAAATCCTCAAATCTATCCAAATATGCACTTGCAGATTCCAAAAGAAGAGTGTCTCAAAACTGCTCTATCAATAGAAATGTTCAGCACAGTTAGTTGAGTAGATACAGCATAAACATGTTTCTGAGATTACTTCTATCTCGCATTCATGGGAAGATATTTCCTTTTTCCAGATAGGCTACAAAGCCCTCCAAATGTCCACTTCCAGATACTACAAATAGAGTGCTGCACAACTGCTCTATGTGAGGGGAAGTTCAATTCTGTGACTTGAATGCAGACACCACAAAGAAGTTTCTGAGAATGCTGCTGTCTAATTTTTACATGTAAGCCCGTTTCCAACGAAATTCTCAAAGCTATCCAAATATCCGCATGCAGAATCTTCAAAAAGAGTGTTCCAGAAGTACTGCATGAAACGAAAGGTTCAAGTCCGTTTGTTGAGGACACACATCACAAATAAGTTTCTCAGAATGCTTCTGTCTTGTTTTCATTGGAAGATATTTCCTTTTTCACCATAGTTCAGAAAGCGCTCCAAATGTCCACTTCCAGATACTCCAAAAAGAGTGTTTCCAACCTGCTCTATGAATGGGAATGTTCCACTCTGTGACTTGAATGGAAATATGGCAAAGTATTTTCTGAGTATGCTGCTGTGTACGTTTTATATTGCATCCCGTTTCCAACGAAATCCTCAAAGCGATCCAAATATCCACTTGCAGATTCCAAAAAAAGAGTGTTTCAAACTGCTCTGTCAGTACAAAGGTTCAACACTGTTAGTTGGTTAGATGCATCATAAACAAGTTCCTGAGATAGCTTCTATGTCGTTTTTATGGGAAGATATTTCCTTTTTCACCATAGGCCTGAAAGCGCTCCAAATGTCCACTTCCAGATACTACAATAAGAGTGTTTCCAACCTGCTCTATGAAACGGAAGGTTCAACTCTGTGACTTGATTGCAAACATCACGAAGGTGTTTCTGAGAATGCTTCTGTCTAGATTTTCTTTGAAGACATTCCCGTTTCCAACGAAATCCTCACAGCTATCCAAATATCCTCTTGCAGATTCTACAAAAAGTGTGGTTCAAAACTGCTGTATCAAAAGAATGGATCAACACTGTTAGTTGAGTACCCACATCACAAACGTGATTCTCAGAATGCTTCTGTCTAGTTTCTGTAGGTAGATATTTCCTATTTTAAGCATAGGCCTGAAAGCGCTCCAAATGCCCGCTTCCAGACACTATAAAAAGAGGGTTTCAAACCTACTCTATGAAAGGGAATGCTCAACTCTGAGAGCTGGATGCAAACATCACAAAGAAGTTTCTGAGAATGCTGCTGTCTACTTTTTATATATAATCCCGTTTCCAACGAAATCCTCAAATCTATCCAAATATCCACTTGCAGATTCCAAAAGAAGAGTGTCTCAAAACTGCTCTATCAATAGAAATGTTCAGCACAGTTAGTTGAGTAGATACAGCATAAACATGTTTCTGAGATTACTTCTATCTCGCATTCATGGGAAGATATTTCCTTTTTCCAGATAGGCTACAAAGCCCTCCAAATGTCCACTTCCAGATACTACAAAAAGAGTGTTTCCAACCTGCTCTATGAAACGGAAGGTTCAACTCTGTGACTTGATTGCAAACATCACGAAGGTGTTTCTGAGAATGCTTCTGTCTAGATTTTCTTTGAAGACATTACCGTTTCCAACGAAATCCTCAAAGCTAGCCAAATATCCACCTGCAGATTCTACAAAAAGAGTGTTTCAAAAGTGCTCTGTCCAAACCAAGGTTCAATTCTGACAGTTGAGTGCACACATCACAAACGTGATTCTGCGAATGCTTCTGTCTAGTTTTTGTCGGAAGATATTTCCTTTTTCAGCATAGGCCCCAAGGAGCTCAAAATGTCCACTGCCAGATAGTACGAGAAGATTGTTTCAAACCTGCTCTGTGAAAGGGAATGTTCAACTCTGTGACTTGAATGTAAACATCCCTAAGATGTTTCTTAGAATGCTTCTGGCTAGATTTGATTTGAAGATATTCCCGTTTCCAACGAAATCCTCAAAGCTTTCCAAATATCCACTTCCAGATTCTATAACAAGAATGTTTCAGAACAGTTCTGTCAAAAGAAAGGTTCAACTACTGTTAGTGGAGAACACACATCACAATCAAGGTTCTGAGAATGCTTCTGTCTAAATTTTCTATGAAGACATTCCCGTTTCCAACGAAATCCTCACAGCTATCCAAATATCCACTTGCAGATTCTACAAAAAGTGTGGTTCAAAACTGCTGTATCAAAAGAATGGATCAACACTGTTAGTTGAGTACCCACATCACAAACGTGATTCTCAGAATGCTTCTGTCTAGTTTCTATAGGTAGATATTTCCTTTTTCAGCATAGGCCTGAAAGCGCTCCAAATGCCCGCTTCCAGACACTATAAAAAGAGGGTTTCAAACCTACTCTATGAAAGGGAATGTTCAACTCTGAGAGCTGGATGCAAACATCACAAAGAAGTTTCTGAGAATGCTGCTGTCTACTTTTTATATATAATCCCGTTTCCAACGAAATCCTCAAATCTATCCAAATATCCACTTGCAGATTCCAAAAGAAGAGTGTCTCAAAACTGCTCTATCAATAGAAATGTTCAGCACAGTTAGTTGAGTAGATACAGCATAAACATGTTTCTGAGATTACTTCTATATCGTTTTTCTGGGAAGATATTTCCTTTTTCACCATAGGCCTGAAAGCGCTCCAGATGTCCACTTCCAGATACTACAAAAAGAGTGTTTCCAACCTGCTCTATGAAACGGAAGGTTCAACTCTGTGACTTGATTGCAAACATCACGAAGGTGTTTCTGAGAATGCTTCTGTCTAGATTTTCTTTGAAGACATTACCGTTTCCAACGAAATCCTCAAAGCTAGCCAAATATCCACCTGCAGATTCTACAAAAAGAGTGTTTCAAAAGTGCTCTCTCCAAACCAAGGTTCAATTCTGACAGTTGAGTGCACACATCACAAACGTGATTCTGCGAATGCTTCTGTCTAGTTTTTGTCGGAAGATATTTCCTTTTTCAGCATAGGCCCCAAAGAGCTCAAAATGTCCACTGCCAGATAGTACGAGAAGATTGTTTCAAACCTGCTCTGTGAAAGGGAATGTTCAACTCTGTGACTTGAATGTAAACATCCCTAAGATGTTTCTTAGAATGCTTCTGGCTAGATTTTATTTGAAGATATTCCCGTTTCCAACGAAATCCTCAAAGCTTTCCAAATATCCACTTCCAGATTCTATAAAAAGAATGTTTCAGAACAGTTCTGTCAAAAGAAAGGTTCAACTCTGTTAGTGGAGAACACACATCACAATCAAGGTTCTGAGAATGCTTCTGTCTAAATTTTCTATGAAGACATTCCCGTTTCCAACGAAATCCTCACAGCTATCCAAATATCCACTTGCAGATTCTACAAAAAGTGTGGTTCAAAACTGCTGTATCAAAAGAATGGATCAACACTGTTAGTTGAGTACCCACATCACAAACGTGATTCTCAGAATGCTTCTGTCTAGTTTCTATAGGTAGATATTTCCTTTTTCAGCATAGGCCTGAAAGCGCTCCAAATGCCCGCTTCCAGACACTATAAAAAGAGGGTTTCAAACCTACTCTATGAAAGGGAATGTTCAACTCTGAGAGCTGGATGCAAACATCACAAAGAAGTTTCTGAGAATGCTGCTGTCTACTTTTGATATATAATCCCGTTTCCAACGAAATCCTCAAATCTATCCAAATATCCACTTGCAGATTCCAAAAGAAGAGTGTCTCAAAACTGCTCTATCAATAGAAATGTTCAGCACAGTTAGTTGAGTAGATACAGCATAAACATGTTTCTGAGATTACTTCTATCTCGCATTCATGGGAAGATATTTCCTTTTTCCAGATAGGCTACAAAGCCCTCCAAATGTCCACTTCCAGATACTACAAATAGAGTGCTGCACAACTGCTCTATGTGAGGGGAAGTTCAATTCTGTGACTTGAATGCAGACACCACAAAGAAGTTTCTGAGAATGCTGCTGTCTAATTTTTACATGTAAGCCCGTTTCCAACGAAATCCTCAAAGCTATCCAAATATCCGCATGCAGAATCTTCAAAAAGAGTGTTCCAGAAGTACTGCATGAAACGAAAGGTTCAAGTCCGTTTGTTGAGGACACACATCACAAAGAAGTTTCTCAGAATGCTTCTGTCTTGTTTTCATTGGAAGATATTTCCTTTTTCACCATAGTTCAGAAAGCGCTCCAAATGTCCACTTCCAGATACTCCAAAAAGAGTGTTTCAAACCTGCTCTATGAATGGGAATGTTCCACTCTGTGACTTGAATGGAAATATGGCAAAGTATTTTCTGAGTATGCTGCTGTGTACGTTTTATATTGCATCCCGTTTCCAACGAAATCCTCAAAGCGATCCAAATATCCACTTGCAGATTCCAAAAAAAGAGTGTTTCAAAGTGCTCTGTCAGTACAAAGGTTCAACACTGTTAGTTGATTAGATGCATCATAAACAAGTTCCTGAGATAGCTTCTATGTCGTTTTTATGGGAAGATATTTCCTTTTTCACCATAGGCCTGAAAGCGCTCCAAATGTCCACTTCCAGATACTACAATAAGAGTGTTTCCAACCTGCTCTATGAAACGGAAGGTTCAACTCTGTGACTTGATTGCAAACATCACGAAGGTGTTTCTGAGAATGCTTCTGTCTAGATTTTCTTTGAAGACATTCCCGTTTCCAACGAAATCCTCACAGCTATCCAAATATCCTCTTGCAGATTCTACAAAAAGTGTGGTTCAAAACTGCTGTATCAAAAGAATGGATCAACACTGTTAGTTGAGTACCCACATCACAAACGTGATTCTCAGAATGCTTCTGTCTAGTTTCTGTAGGTAGATATTTCCTATTTTAAGCATAGGCCTGAAAGCGCTCCAAATGCCCGCTTGCAGACACTATAAAAAGAGGGTTTCAAACCTACTCTATGAAAGGGAATGTTCAACTCTGAGAGCTGGATGCAAACATCACAAAGAAGTTTCTGAGAATGCTGCTGTCTACTTTTGATATATAATCCCGTTTCCAACGAAATCCTCAAATCTATCCAAATATCCACTTGCAGATTCCAAAAGAAGAGTGTCTCAAAACTGCTCTATCAATAGAAATGTTCAGCACAGTTAGTTGAGTAGATACAGCATAAACATGTTTCTGAGATTACTTCTATCTCACATTCATGGGAAGATATTTCCTTTTTCCAGATAGGCTACAAAGCCCTCCAAATGTCCACTTCGAGATACTACAAATAGAGTGCTGCACAACTGCTCTATGTGAGGGGATGTTCAATTCTGTGACTTGAATGCAGACACCACAAAGAAGTTTCTGAGAATGCTGCTGTCTAATTTTTATATGTAAGCCCGTTTCCAAAGAAATCCTCAAAGCTATCCAAATATCCGCATGCAGAATCTTCAAAAAGAGTGTTCCAGAAGTACTGCATGAAACGAAAGGTTCAAGTCCGTTAGTTGAGGACACACATCACAAATAAGTTTCTCAGAATGCTTCTGTCTTGTTTTTATGGGAAGATATTTCCTTTTTCACCACAGGTAAGAAAGCGCTCCAAATGTCCACTTCCAGATACTACAAAAAGAGTGTTTCCAACCTGCTCTATGAATGGGAATGTTCCACTCTGTGACTTGAGTGGAAATATGGCAAAGTATTTTCTGAGTATGCTGCTGTGTACGTTTTATATTGCATCCCGTTTCCAACGAAATCCTCAAAGCGATCCAAATATCCACTTGCAGATTCCAAAAAAAGAGTGTTTCAAACTGCTCTGTCAGTACAAAGGTTCAACACTGTTAGTTGATTAGATGCATCATAAACAAGTTCCTGAGATAGCTTCTATGTCGTTTTTATGGGAAGATATTTCCTTTTTCACCATAGGCCTGAAAGCGCTCCAAATGTCCACTTCCAGATACTACAATAAGAGTGTTTCCAACCTACTCTATGAAACGGAAGGTTCAACTCTGTGACTTGATTGCAAACATCACGAAGGTGTTTCTGAGAATGCTTCTGTCTAGATTTTCTTTGAAGACATTCCCGTTTCCAACGAAATCCTCACAGCTATCCAAATATCCTCTTGCAGATTCTACAAAAAGTGTGGTTCAAAACTGCTGTATCAAAAGAATGGATCAACACTGTTAGTTGAGTACCCACATCACAAACGTGATTCTCAGAATGCTTCTGTCTAGTTTCTGTAGGTAGATATTTCCTATTTTAAGCATAGGCCTGAAAGCGCTCCAAATGCCCGCTTCCAGACACTATAAAAAGAGGGTTTCAAACCTACTCTATGAAAGGGAATGCTCAACTCTGAGAGCTGGATGCAAACATCACAAAGAAGTTTCTGAGAATGCTGCTGTCTACTTTTTATATATAATCCCGTTTCCAAAGAAATCCTCAAATCTATGCAAATATCCACTTGCAGATTCCAAAAGAAGAGTGTCTCAAAACTGCTCTATCAATAGAAATGTTCAGCACAGTTAGTTGAGTAGATACAGCATAAACATGTTTCTGAGATTACTTCTATCTCGCATTCATGGGAAGATATTTCCTTTTTCCACATAGGCTACAAAGCCCTCCAAATGTCCACTTCCAGATACTACAAAAAGAGTGTTTCCAACCTGCTCTATGAAACGGAAGGTTCAACTCTGTGACTTGATTGCAAACATCACGAAGGTGTTTCTGAGAATGCTTCTGTCTAGATTTTCTTTGAAGACATTACCGTTTCCAACGAAATCCTCAAAGCTAGCCAAATATCCACCTGCAGATTCTACAAAAAGAGTGTTTCAAAAGTGCTCTGTCCAAACCAAGGTTCAATTCTGACAGTTGAGTGCACACATCACAAACGTGATTCTGCGAATGCTTCTGTCTAGTTTTTGTCGGAAGATATTTCCTTTTTCAGCATAGGCCCCAAGGAGCTCAAAATGTCCACTGCCAGATAGTACGAGAAGATTGTTTCAAACCTGCTCTGTGAAAGGGAATGTTCAACTCTGTGACTTGAATGTAAACATCCCTAAGATGTTTCTTAGAATGCTTCTGGCTAGATTTTATTTGAAGATATTCCCGTTTCCAACGAAATCCTCAAAGCTTTCCAAATATCCACTTCCAGATTCTATAAAAAGAATGTTTCAGAACAGTTCTGTCAAAAGAAAGGTTCAACTCTGTTAGTGGAGAACACACATCACAATCAAGGTTCTGAGAATGCTTCTGTCTAAATTTTCTATGAAGACATTCCCGTTTCCAACGAAATCCTCACAGCTATCCAAATATCCACTTGCAGATTCTACAAAAAGTGTGGTTCAAAACTGCTGTATCAAAAGAATGGATCAACACTGTTAGTTGAGTACCCACATCACAAACGTGATTCTCAGAATGCTTCTGTCTAGTTTCTATAGGTAGATATTTCCTTTTTCAGCATAGGCCTGAAAGCGCTCCAAATGCCCGCTTCCAGACACTATAAAAAGAGGGTTTCAAACCTACTCTATGAAAGGGAATGTTCAACTCTGAGAGCTGGATGCAAACATCACAAAGAAGTTTCTGAGAATGCTGCTGTCTACTTTTTATATATAATCCCGTTTCCAACGAAATCCTCAAATCTATCCAAATATCCACTTGCAGATTCCAAAAGAAGAGTGTCTCAAAACTGCTCTATCAATAGAAATGTTCAGCACAGTTAGTTGAGTAGATACAGCATAAACATGTTTCTGAGATTACTACTATCTCGCATTCATGGGAAGATATTTCCTTTTTCCAGATAGGCTACAAAGCCCTCCAAATGTCCACTTCCAGATACTACAAATAGAGTGCTGCACAACTGCTCTATGTGAGGTGAAGTTCAATTCTGTGACTTGAATGCAGACACCACAAAGAAGTTTCTGAGAATGCTGCTGTCTAATTTTTACATGTAAGCCCGTTTCCAACGAAATCCTCAAAGCAATCCAAATATCCGCATGCAGAATCTTCAAAAAGAGTGTTCCAGAAGTACTGCATGAAACGAAAGGTTCAAGTCCGTTTGTTGAGGACACACATCACAAATAAGTTTCTCAGAATGCTTCTGTCTTGTTTTCATTGGAAGATATTTCCTTTTTCACCATAGTTCAGAAAGCGCTCCAAATGTCCACTTCCAGATACTCCAAAAAGAGTGTTTCAAACCTGCTCCATGAATGGGAATGTTCCACTCTGTGACTTGAATGGAAATATGGCAAAGTATTTTCTGAGTATGCCGCTGTGTACGTTTTATATTGCATCCCGTTTCCCACGAAATCCTCAAAGCGATCCAAATATCCACTTGCAGATTCCAAAAAAAGAGTGTTTCAAACTGCTCTGTCAGTACAAAGGTTCAACACTGTTAGTTGATTAGATGCATCACAAACAAGTTCCTGAGATAGCTTCTATGTCGTTTTTATGGGAAGATATTTCCTTTTTCACCATAGGCCTGAAAGCGCTCCAAATGTCCACTTCCAGATACTACAATAAGAGTGTTTCCAACCTGCTCTATGAAACGGAAGGTTCAACTCTGTGACTTGATTGCAAACATCACGAAGGTGTTTCTGAGAATGCTTCTGTCTAGATTTTCTTTGAAGACATTCCCGTTTCCAACGAAATCCTCACAGCTATCCAAATATCCTCTTGCAGATTCTACAAAAAGTGTGGTTCAAAACTGCTGTATCAAAAGAATGGATCAACACTGTTAGTTGAGTACCCACATCACAAACGAGATTCTCAGAATGCTTTCTGTCTAGTTTCTGTAGGTAGATATTTCCTATTTTAAGCATAGGTCTGAAAGCGCTCCAAATGCCCGCTTCCAGACACTATAAAAAGAGGGTTTCAAACCTACTCTATGAAAGGGAATGTTCAACTCTGAGAGCTGGATGCAAACATCACAAAGAAGTTTCTGAGAATGCTGCTGTCTACTTTTTATATATAATCCCGTTTCCAACGAAATCCTCAAATCTCTCCAAATATCCACTTGCAGATTCCAAAAGAAGAGTGTCTCAAAACTGCTCTATCAATAGAAATGTTCAGCACAGTTAGTTGAGTAGATACAGCATAAACATGTTTCTGAGATTACTTCTATCTCGCATTCATGGGAAGATATTTCCTTTTTCCACATAGGCTACAAAGCCCTCCAAATGTCCACTTCCAGATACTACAAAAAGAGTGTTTCCAACCTGCTCTATGAAACGGAAGGTTCAACTCTGTGACTTGATTGCAAACATCACGAAGGTGTTTCTGAGAATGCTTCTGTCTAGATTTTCTTTGAAGACATTACCGTTTCCAACGAAATCCTCAAAGCTAGCCAAATATCCACCTGCAGATTCTACAAAAAGAGTGTTTCAAAAGTGCTCTGTCCAAACCAAGGTTCAATTCTGACAGTTGAGTGCACACATCACAAACGTGATTCTGCGAATGCTTCTGTCTAGTTTTTGTCGGAAGATATTTCCTTTTTCAGCATAGGCCCCAAGGAGCTCAAAATGTCCACTGCCAGATAGTACGAGAAGATTGTTTCAAACCTGCTCTGTGAAAGGGAATGTTCAACTCTGTGACTTGAATGTAAACATCCCTAAGATGTTTCTTAGAATGCTTCTGGCTAGATTTGATTTGAAGATATTCCCGTTTCCAACGAAATCCTCAAAGCTTTCCAAATATCCACTTCCAGATTCTATAAAAAGAATGTTTCAGAACAGTTCTGTCAAAAGAAAGGTTCAACTCTGTTAGTGGAGAACACACATCACAATCAAGGTTCTGAGAATGCTTCTGTCTAAATTTTCTATGAAGACCTTCCCGTTTCCAACGAAATCCTCACAGCTATCCAAATATCCACTTGCAGATTCTACAAAAAGTGTGGTTCAAAACTGCTGTATCAAAAGAATGGATCAACACTGTTAGTTGAGTACCCACATCACAAACGTGATTCTCAGAATGCTTCTGTCTAGTTTCTATAGGTAGATATTTCCTTTTTCAGCATAGGCCTGAAAGCGCTCCAAATGCCCGCTTCCAGACACTATAAAAAGAGGGTTTCAAACCTACTCTATGAAAGGGAATGTTCAACTCTGAGAGCTGGATGCAAACATCACAAAGAAGTTTCTGAGAATGCTGCTGTCTACTTTTTATATATAATCCCGTTTCCAACGAAATCCTCAAATCTATCCAAATATCCACTTGCAGATTCCAAAAGAAGAGTGTCTCAAAACTGCTCTATCAATAGAAATGTTCAGCACAGTTAGTTGAGTAGATACAGCATAAACATGTTTCTGAGATTACTTCTATCTCGCATTCATGGGAAGATATTTCCTTTTTCCAGATAGGCTACAAAGCCCTCCAAATGTCCACTTCCAGATACTACAAATAGAGTGCTGCACAACTGCTCTATGTGAGGGGATGTTCAATTCTGTGACTTGAACGCAGACACCACAAAGAAGTTTCTGAGAATTCTGCTGTCTAATTTTTACATGTAAGCCCGTTTCCAACGAAATCCTCAAAGCTATCCAAATATCCGCATGCAGAATCTTCAAAAAGAGTGTTCCAGAAGTACTGCATGAAACGAAAGGTTCAAGTCCGTTTGTTGAGGACACACATCACAAATAAGTTTCTCAGAATGCTTCTGTCTTGTTTTCATTGGAAGATATTTCCTTTTTCACCATAGTTCTGAAAGCGCTCCAAATGTCCACTTCCAGACACTCCAAAAAAAGTGTTTGAAACCTGCTCTATGAATGGGAATGTTCCACTCTGTGACTTGAATGGAAATATGGCAAAGTATTTTCTGAGTATGCTGCTGTGTACGTTTTATATTACATCCCGTTTCCAACGAAATCCTCAAAGCGATCCAAATATCCACTTGCAGATTCCAAAAAAAAGAGTGTTTCACACTGCTCTGTCAGTACAAAGGTTCAACACTGTTAGTTGATTGGATGCATCATAAACAAGTTCCTGAGATAGCTTCTATGTCGTTTTTATGGGAAGATATTTCCTTTTTCACCATAGGCCTGAAAGCGCTCCAAATGTCCAATTCCAGATACTGCAAAAAGAGTGTTTCCAACCTGCTCTATGAAACGGAAGGTTCAACTCTGTGACTTGATTGCAAACATCACGAAGGTGTTTCTGAGAATGTTTCTGTCTAGATTTTCTTTGAAGACATTACCGTTTCCAACGAAATCCTCAAAGCTAGCCAAATATCCACCTGCAGATTCTACAAAAAGAGTGTTTCAAAAGTGCTCTGTCCAAACAAAGGTTCAATTCTGACAGTTGAGTGCACACATCACAAACGTGATTCGGCGTATGCTTCTGTCTAGTTTCTGTAGGTAGATATTTCCTATTTTAAGCATAGGCCTGAAAGCGCTCCAAATGCCCGCTTCCAGACACTATAAAAAGAGGGTTTCAAACCTACTCTATGAAAGGGAATGTTCAACTCTGAGAGCTGGATGCAAACATCACAAAGAAGTTTCTGAGAATGCTGCTGTCTACTTTTTATATATAATCCCGTTTCCAACGAAATCCTCAAATCTCTCCAAATATCCACTTGCAGATTCCAAAAGAAGAGTGTCTCAAAACTGCTCTATCAATAGAAATGTTCAGCACAGTTAGTTGAGTAGATACAGCATAAACATGTTTCTGAGATTACTTCTATCTCGCATTCATGGGAAGATATTTCCTTTTTCCACATAGGCTACAAAGCCCTCCAAATGTCCACTTCCAGATACTACAAAAAGAGTGTTTCCAACCTGCTCTATGAAACGGAAGGTTCAACTCTGTGACTTGATTGCAAACATCACGAAGGTGTTTCTGAGAATGCTTCTGTCTAGATTTTCTTTGAAGACATTACCGTTTCCAACGAAATCCTCAAAGCTAGCCAAATATCCACCTGCAGATTCTACAAAAAGAGTGTTTCAAAAGTGCTCTGTCCAAACCAAGGTTCAATTCTGACAGTTGAGTGCACACATCACAAACGTGATTCTGCGAATGCTTCTGTCTAGTTTTTGTCGGAAGATATTTCCTTTTTCAGCATAGGCCCCAAGGAGCTCAAAATGTCCACTGCCAGATAGTACGAGAAGATTGTTTCAAACCTGCTCTGTGAAAGGGAATGTTCAACTCTGTGACTTGAATGTAAACATCCCTAAGATGTTTCTTAGAATGCTTCTGGCTAGATTTGATTTGAAGATATTCCCGTTTCCAACGAAATCCTCAAAGCTTTCCAAATATCCACTTCCAGATTCTATAAAAAGAATGTTTCAGAACAGTTCTGTCAAAAGAAAGGTTCAACTCTGTTAGTGGAGAACACACATCACAATCAAGGTTCTGAGAATGCTTCTGTCTAAATTTTCTATGAAGACATTCCCGTTTCCAACGAAATCCTCACAGCTATCCAAATATCCACTTGCAGATTCTACAAAAAGTGTGGTTCAAAACTGCTGTATCAAAAGAATGGATCAACACTGTTAGTTGAGTACCCACATCACAAACGTGATTCTCAGAATGCTTCTGTCTAGTTTCTATAGGTAGATATTTCCTTTTTCAGCATAGGCCTGAAAGCGCTCCAAATGCCCGCTTCCAGACACTATAAAAAGAGGGTTTCAAACCTACTCTATGAAAGGGAATGTTCAACTCTGAGAGCTGGATGCAAACATCACAAAGAAGTTTCTGAGAATGCTGCTGTCTACTTTTGATATATAATCCCGTTTCCAACGAAATCCTCAAATCTATCCAAATATCCACTTGCAGATTCCAAAAGAAGAGTGTCTCAAAACTGCTCTATCAATAGAAATGTTCAGCACAGTTAGTTGAGTACATACAGCATAAACATGTTTCTGAGATTACTTCTATCTCGCATTCATGGGAAGATATTTCCTTTTTCCAGATAGGCTACAAAGCCCTCCAAATGTCCACTTCCAGATACTACAAATAGAGTGCTGCACAACTGCTCTATGTGAGGGGATGTTCAATTCTGTGACTTGAATGCAGACACCACAAAGAAGTTTCTGAGAATGCTGCTGTCTAATTTTTATATGTAAGCCCGTTTCCAAAGAAATCCTCAAAGCTATCCAAATATCCGCATGCAGAATCTTCAAAAAGAGTGTTCCAGAAGTACTGCATGAAACGAAAGGTTCAAGTCCGTTAGTTGAGGACACACGTCACAAATAAGTTTCTCAGAATGCTTCTGTCTTGTTTTCATTGGAAGATATTTCCTTTTTCACCATAGTTCAGAAAGCGCTCCAAATGTCCACTTCCAGATACTACAAAAGGAGTGTTTCCAACCTTCTCTATGAATGGGAATGTTCCACTCTGTGACTTGAATGGAAATATGGCAAAGTATCTTCTGAGTATGCTGCTGTGTACTTTTATATTGCATCCCGTTTCCAACGAAATCCTCAAAGCGATCCAAATATCCACTTGCAGATTCCAAAAAAAAGAGTGTTTCACACTGCACTGTCAGTACAAAGGTTCAAAACTGTTAGCTGATTGGATGCATCATAAACAAGTTCCTGAGATAGCTTCTATGTCGTTTTTATGGGAAGATATTTCCTTTTTCACCATAGGCCTGAAAGCGCTCCAAATGTCCACTTCCAGATACTACAAAAAGAGTGTTTCCAACCTGCTCTACGAAACGGAAGGTTCAACTCTGTGACTTGATTGCAAACATCATGAAGGTGTTTCTGAGAATGTTTCTGTCTAGATTTTCTTTGAAGACATTACCGTTTCCAACGAAATCCTCAAAGCTAGCCAAATATCCACCTGCAGATTCTACAAAAAGAGTGTTTCAAAAGTGCTCTGTCCAAACCAAGGTTCAATTCTGACAGTTGAGTGCACACATCACAAACGTGATTCTGCGAATGCTTCTGTCTAGTTTTTGTCGGAAGAATATTTCCTTTTTCAGCATAGGCCCCAAGGAGCTCAAAATGTCCACTGCCAGATAGTACGAGAAGATTGTTTCAAACCTGCTCTGAGAAAGGGGAATGTTCAACTCTGTGACTTGAATGTAAACATCCCTAAGATGTTTCTTAGAATGCTTCTGGCTAGATTTTATTTGAAGATATTCCCGTTTCCAACGAAATCCTCAAAGCTTTCCAAATATCCACTTCCAGATTCTATAAAAAGAATGTTTCAGAACAGTTCTGTCAAAAGAAAGGTTCAACTCTGTTAGTGGAGAACACACATCACAATCAAGGTTCTGAGAATGCTTCTGTCTAAATTTTCTATGAAGACATTCCCGTTTCCAACGAAATCCTCACAGCTATCCAAATATCCACTTGCAGATTCTACAAAAAGTGTGGTTCAAAACTGCTGTATCAAAAGAATGGATCAACACTGTTAGTTGAGTACCCACATCACAAACGTGATTCTCAGAATGCTTCTGTCTAGTTTCTATAGGTAGATATTTCCTTTTTCAGCATAGGCCTGAAAGCGCTCCAAATGCCCGCTTCCAGACACTATAAAAAGAGGGTTTCAAACCTACTCTATGAAAGGGAATGTTCAACTCTGAGAGCTGGATGCAAACATCACAAAGAAGTTTCTGAGAATGCTGCTGTCTACTTTTTATATATAATCCCGTTTCCAACGAAATCCTCAAATCTATCCAAATATCCACTTGCAGATTCCAAAAGAAGAGTGTCTCAAAACTGCTCTATCAATAGAAATGTTCAGCACAGTTAGTTGAGTAGATACAGCATAAACATGTTTCTGAGATTACTTCTATCTCGCATTCATGGGAAGATATTTCCTTTTTCCAGATAGGCTACAATGCCCTCCAAATGTCCACTTCCAGATACTACAAATAGAGTGCTGCACAACTGCTCTATGTGAGGGGATGTTCAATTCTGTGACTTGAATGCAGACACCACAAAGAAGTTTCTGAGAATTCTGCTGTCTAATTTTTACATGTAAGCCCGTTTCCAACGAAATCCTCAAAGCTATCCAAATATCCGCATGCAGAATCTTCAAAAAGAGTGTTCCAGAAGTACTGCATGAAACGAAAGGTTCAAGTCCGTTAGTTGAGGACACACATCACAAATAAGTTTCTCAGAATGCTTCTGTCTTGTTTTCATTGGAAGATATTTCCTTTTCCACCATAGTTCAGAAAGCGCTCCAAATGTCCACTTCCAGATACTCCAAAAAGAGTGTTTCCAACCTTCTCTATGAATGGGAATGTTCCACTCTGTGACTTGAATGGAAATATGGCAAAGTATTTTCTGAGTATGCTGCTGTGTACGTTTTATATTGCATCCCGTTTCCAACGAAATCCTCAAAGCGATCCAAATATCCACTTGCAGATTCCAAAAAAGAGTGTTTCAAACTGCTCTGTCAGTACAAAGGTTCAACACTGTTAGTTGATTAGATGCATCATAAACAAGTTCCTGAGATAGCTTCTATATCGTTTTTATGGGAAGATATTTCCTTCTTCACCACAGGCATGAAAGCGCTCCAAATGTCCACTTCCAGATACTACAAAAAGAGTGTTTCCAACCTGCTCTATGAAACGGAAGGTTCAACTCTGTGACTTGATTGCAAACATCACGAAGGTGTTTCTGAGAATGTTTCTGTCTAGATTTTCTTTGAAGGACATTCCCGTTTCCAACGAAATCCTCAAAGCTAGCCAAATATCCACCTGCAGATTCTACAAAAAGAGTGTTTCAAGAGTGCTCTCTCCAAACCAAGGTTCAATTCTGACAGTTGAGTGCACACATCACAAACGTGATTCTGCGAATGCTTCTGTCTAGTTTTTGTCGGAAGATATTTCCTTTTTCAGCATAGGCCCCAAGGAGCTCAAAATGTCCACTGCCAGATAGTACGAGAAGATTGTTTCAAACCTGCTCTGTGAAAGGGAATGTTCAACTCTGTGACTTGAATGTAAACATCCCTAAGATGTTTCTTAGAATGCTTCTGGCTAGATTTTATTTGAAGATATTCCCGTTTCCAACGAAATCCTCAAAGCTTTCCAAATATCCACTTCCAGATTCTATAAAAAGAATGTTTCAGAACAGTTCTGTCAAAAGAAAGGTTCAACTCTGTTAGTGGAGAACACACATCACAATCAAGGTTCTGAGAATGCTTCTGTCTAAATTTTCTATGAAGACATTCCCGTTTCCACCGAAATCCTCACAGCTATCCAAATATCCACTTGCAGATTCTACAAAAAGTGTGGTTCAAAACTGCTGTATCAAAAGAATGGATCAACACTGTTAGTTGAGTACCCACATCACAAACGTGATTCCTCAGAATGCTTTCTGTCTAGTTTCTATAGGTAGATATTTCCTTTTTCAGCATAGGCCTGAAGCGCTCCAAATGCCCGCTTCCAGACACTATAAAAAGAGGGTTTCAAACCTACTCTATGAAAGGGAATGTTCAACTCTGAGAGCTGGATGCAAACATCACAAAGAAGTTTCTGAGAATGCTGCTGTCTACTTTTTATATATAATCCCGTTTCCAACGAAATCCTCAAATCTATCCAAATATCCACTTGCAGATTCCAAAAGAAGAGTGTCTCAAAACTGCTCTATCAATAGAAATGTTCAGCACAGTTAGTTGAGTAGATACAGCATAAACATGTTTCTGAGATTACTTCTATCTCGCATTCATGGGAAGATATTTCCTTTTTCCAGATAGGCTACAAAGCCCTCCAAATGTCCACTTCCAGATACTACAAAAAGAGTGTTTCCAACCTGCTCTATGAAACGGAAGGTTCAACTCTGTGACTTGATTGCAAACATCACGAAGGTGTTTCTGAGAATGCTTCTGTGTAGATTTTCTTTGAAGACATTACCGTTTCCAACGAAATCCTCAAAGCTAGCCAAATATCCACCTGCAGATTCTACAAAAAGAGTGTTTCAAAAGTGCTCTGTCCAAACCAAGGTTCAATTCTGACAGTTGAGTGCACACATCACAAACGTGATTCTGCGAATGCTTCTGTCTAGTTTTTATGTGAAGATGTTTCCTTTTCTAACATAGGCCTCAAAGCGCTCTAAATATACATTTGCAAGTAGTTCAAAAAGATTGTTTCAAAACTGCTCTATCAAAAGTAATTTAAACACTGTGAGTTGAACACACACCTCACAAAGTTGTTTCTGAGAATATTTCTGTCCAGTTTTTATATGAAGATATTTCCTTTTCTACCATAGGCCTCAAACTGCTCTAAATATCCACTTGTAAATTCTACAAAAAGAGAGTTTCAAAACTGCTCTATCGAAAGAAGGTTCAATACTGTGAATGTAATGCACACATCACAAAGATGTTTCTGAGAATTCTTCTGTCTAAATTTTCTATGAAGACATTCCCGTTTCCAAAGAAATCCTCACAGCTATCCAAATATCCACTTGCAGATTCTACAAAAAGGGTGGTTCAAAACTGCTGTATCAATAGAATGGATCAACACTGTTAGTTGAGTACCCACATCACAAACGAGATTCTCAGAATGCTTCTGTCTAGTTTCTATAGGTAGACATTTCCTTTTTCAGCATAGGCCTGAAAGCGCTCCAAATGCCCGCTTCCAGACACTATAAAAAGAGGGTTTCCAACCTACTCTATGAAAGGGAATGTTCAACTCTGAGAGCTGGATGCAAACATCACAAAGAAGTTTCTGAGAATGCTGCTGTCTACTTTTTATATATAATCCCGTTTCCAACGAAATCCTCAAATCTATCCAAATATCCACTTGCAGATTCCAAAAGAAGAGTGTCTCAAAACTGCTCTTTCAATAGAAATGTTCAGCACAGTTAGTTGAGTAGATACAGCATAAACATGTTTCTGAGATTACTTCTATCTCGCATTCATGGGAAGATATTTCCTTTTTCCAGATAGGCTACAAAGCCCTCCAAATGTCCACTTCCAGATACTACAAAAAGAGTGTTTCCAACCTGCTCTATGAAACGGAAGGTTCAACTCTGTGACTTGATTGCAAACATCACGAAGGTGTTTCTGAGAATGCTTCTGTCTAGATTTTCTTTGAAGACATTACCGTTTCCAACGAAATCCTCAAAGCTAGCCAAATATCCACCTGCAGATTCTACAAAAAGAGTGTTTCAAAAGTGCTCTCTCCAAACCAAGGTTCAATTCTGACAGTTGAGTGCACACATCACAAACGTGATTCTGCGAATGCTTCTGTCTAGTTTTTGTCGGAAGATATTTCCTTTTTCAGCATAGGCCCCAAAGAGCTCAAAATGTCCACTGCCAGATAGTACGAGAAGATTGTTTCAAACCTGCTCTGTGAAAGGGAATGTTCAACTCTGTGACTTGAATGTAAACATCCCTAAGCTGTTTCTTAGAATGCTTCTGGCTAGATTTGATTTGAAGATATTCCCGTTTCCAACGAAATCCTCAAAGCTTTCCAAATATCCACTTCCAGATTCTATAAAAAGAATGTTTCAGAACAGTTCTGTCAAAAGAAAGGTTCAGCTCTGTTAGTGGAGAACACACATCACAATCAAGGTTCTGAGAATGCTTCTGTCTAAATTTTCTATGAAGACATTCCCGTTTCCAACGAAATCCTCACAGCTATCCAAATATCCACTTGCAGATTCTACAAAAAGTGTGGTTCAAAACTGCTGTATCAAAAGAATGGATCGACACTGTTAGTTGAGTACCCACATCACAAACGTGATTCTCAGAATGCTTCTGTCTAGTTTCTATAGGTAGATATTTCCTTTTTCAGCATAGGCCTGAAAGCGCTCCAAATGCCCGCTTCCAGACACTATAAAAAGAGGGTTTCAAACCTACTCTATGAAAGGGAATGTTCAACTCTGGGAGCTGGATGCAAACATCACAAAGAAGTTTCTGAGAATGCTGCTGTCTACTTTTTATATATAATCCCGTTGCCAACGAAATCCTCAAATCTTTCGAAATATCCACTTGCAGATTCCAAAAGAAGAGTGTCTCAAAACTGCTCTATCAATAGAAATGTTCAGCACAGTTAGTTGAGTAGATACAGCATAAACATGTTTCTGAGATTACTTCTATCTCGCATTCATGGGAAGATATTTCCTTTTTCCAGATAGGCTACAAAGCCCTCCAAATGTCCACTTCGAGATACTACAAATAGAGTGCTGCACAACTTCTCTATGTAAGGGGATGTTCAATTCTGTGACTTGGATGCAGACACCACAGAGAAGTTTCTGAGAATGCTTCTGTCTAGATTTTCTTTGAAGACATTACCGTTTCCAACGAAATCCTCAAAGCTAGCCAAATATCCACCTGCAGATTCTACAAAAAGTGTGTTTCAAAAGTGCTCTCTCCAAACCAAGGTTCAATTCTGACAGTTGAGTGCACACATCACAAACGTGATTCTGCGAATGCTTCTGTCTAGTTTTTGTCGGAAGATATTTCCTTTTTCAGCATAGGCCCCAAAGAGCTCAAAATGTCCACTGCCAGATAGTACGAGAAGATTGTTTCAAACCTGCTCTGTGAAAGGGAATGTTCAACTCTGTGACTTGAATGTAAACATCCCTAAGATGTTTCTTAGAATGCTTCTGGCTAGATTTTATTAGAAGATATTCCCGTTTCCAACGAAATCCTCAAATCTTTCCAAATATCCACTTCCAGATACTATAAAAGGAATGTTTCAGAACACTTCTGTCAAAAGAAAGGTTCAACTCTGTTAGTGGAGAACACACATCACAATCAAGGTTCTGAGAATGCTTCTGTCTAAATTTTCTATGAAGGCATTCCCGTTTCCAAGGAAATCCTCACAGCTATCCAAATATCCACTTGAAGATTCTACAAAAAGTGTGGTTGAAAACTGCTGTATCAAAAGAATGGATCAACACTGTTAGTTGAGTACCCACATCACAAACGTGATTCTCAGAATGCTTCTGTCTAGTTTCTAGAGGTAGATATTTCCTTTTTCAGCATAGGCCTGAAAGCGCTCCAAATGCCCGCTTCCAGAAACTATAAAAAGAGGGTTTCAAACCTACTCTACGAAAGGGAATGTTCAACTCTGAGAGCTGGATGCAAACATCACAAAGAAGTTTCTGAGAATGCTGCTGTCTACTTTTTATATATAATCCCGTTTCCAACGAAATCCTCAAATCTATCCAAATATCCACTTGCAGATTCCAAAAGAAGAGGGTCTCAAAACTGCTCTATCAATAGAAATGTTCAGCACAGTTAGTTGAGTAGATACAGCATAAACATGTTTCTGAGATTACTTCTATCTCGCATTCATGGGAAGATATTTCCTTTTTCCAGATAGGCTACAAAGCCCTCCAAATGTCCACTTCGAGATACTACAGATAGAGTGCTGCACAACTGCTCTATGTGAGGGGATTTTCAATTCTGTGACTTGAATGCAGACACCACAAAGAAGTTTCTGAGAATGCTGCTGTCTAATTTTTATATGTAAGCCCGTTTCCAACGAAATCCTCAAAGCTATCCAAATATCCGCATGCAGAATCTTCAAAAAGAGTGTTCCAGAAGTACAGTATGAAACGAAAGGTTCAAGTCCGTTAGTTGAGGAAAAACATCACAAACAATTTTCTCAGAATGCTTCTGTGTTGTTTTCATTGGAAGATATTTCCTTTTTCACCATAGTTCAGAAAGCGCTCCAAATGTCCACTTCCAGATATTCCAAAAAGAGTGTTTCCAACCTGCTGTATGAATGGGAATGTTCCACTCTGTGACTTGAATGGAAATATGGCAAAGTATTTTCTGAGTATGCTGCTGTGTACGTTTTATATTGCATCCCGTTTCCAACGAAATCCTGAAAGCGATCCAAATATCCACTTGCAGATTCCAAAAAAAGAGTGTTTCAAACTGCTCTGTCAGTACAAAGGTTCAACACTGTTAGTTGATTAGATGCATCATAAAAAAGTTCCTGAGATAGCTTCTATGTCGTTTTTATGGGAAGATATTTCCTTCTTCACCATAGGCCTGAAAGCGCTCCAAATGTCCACTTCCAGATACTACAAAAAGAGTGTCTCCAACCTGCTCTACGAAACGGAAGCTTCAACTCTGTGACTTGATTGCAAACATCACGAAGGTGTTTCTGAGAATGTTTCTGTCTAGATTTTCTTTGAAGACATTACCGTTTCCAACGAAATCCTCAAAGCTAGTCAAATATCCACCGGCAGATTCTACAAAAAGAGTGTTTCAAAAGTGCTCTATCCAAACAAAGGTTCAATTCTGACAGTTGAGTGCACACATCACAAACGTGATTCTGCGAATGCTTCTGTCTAGTTTCTGTAGGTAGATATTTCCTATTTTAAGCATAGGCCTGAAAGCGCTCCAAATGCCCGCTTCCAGACACTATAAAAAGAGGGTTTCAAACCTACTCTATGAAAGGGAATGCTCAACTCTGAGAGCTGGATGCAAACATCACAAAGAAGTTTCTGAGAATGCTGCTGTCTACTTTTTATATATAATCCCATTTCCAACAAAATCCTCAAATCTATCCAAATATCCACTTGCAGATTCCAAAAGAAGAGTGTCTCAAAACTGCTCTATCAATAGAAATGTTCAGCACAGTTAGTTGAGTAGATACAGCATAAACATGTTTCTGAGATTACTTCTATCTCGCATTCATGGGAAGATATTTCCTTTTTCCAGATAGGCTACAAAGCCCTCCAAATGTCCACTTCCAGATACTACAAAAAGAGTGTTTCCAACCTGCTCTATGAAACGGAAGGTTCAACTCTGTGACTTGATTGCAAACATCACGACGCTGTTTCTGAGAATGCTTCTGTCTAGATTTTCTTTGAAGACATTACCGTTTCCAACGAAATCCTCAAAGCTAGCCAAATATCCACCTGCAGATTCTACAAAAAGAGTGTTTCAAAAGTGCTCTGTCCAAACCAAGGTTCAATTCTGACAGTTGAGTGCACACATCACAAACGTGATTCTGCGAATGCTTCTGTCTAGTTTTTGTCGGAATATATTTCCTTTTTCAGCATAGGCCCCAAGGAGCTCAAAATGTCCACTGCCAGATAGTACGAGAAGATTGTTTCAAACCTGCTCTGAGAAAGGGGAATGTTCAACTCTGTGACTTGAATGTACACATCCCTAAGATGTTTCTTAGAATGCTTCTGGCTAGATTTGATTTGAAGATATTCCCGTTTCCAACGAAATCCTCAAAGCTTTCCAAATATACACTTCCAGATTCTATAAAAAGAATGTTTCAAAACAGTTCTGTCCAAAGAAAGGTTCAACTCTGTTAGTGGAGAACACACATCACAATCCAGGTTCTGAGAATGCTTCTGTCTAAATTTTCTATGAAGACATTCCCGTTTCCAACGAAATCCTCACAGCTATCCAAATATCCACTTGCAGATTCTACAAAAAGTGTGGTTCAAAACTGCTGTATCAAAAGAATGAATCAACACTGTTAGTTGAGGACCCACATCACAAACGTGATTCTCAGAATGCTTCTGTCTAGTTTCTATAGGTAGATATTTCCTTTTTCAGCATAGGCCTGAAAGCGCTCCAAATGCCCGCTTCCAGACACTATAAAAAGAGGTTTTCAAACCTACTCTACGAAAGGGAATGTTCAACTCTGAGAGCTGGATGCAAACATCACAAAGAAGTTTCTGAGAATGCGGCTGTCTACATTTTATATATAATCCCGTTGCCAACGAAATCCTCAAATCTTTCCAAATATCCACTTGCAGATTCCAAAAGAAGAGTGTCTCAAAACTGCTCTATCAATAGAAATGTTCAGCACAGTTAGTTGAGTAGATACAGCATAAACATGTTTCTGAGATTACTTCTATCTCGCATTCATGGGAAGATATTTCCTTTTTCCAGATAGGCTACAAAGCCCTCCAAATGTCCACTTCGAGATACTACAAATAGAGTACTGCACAACTGCTCTATGTGAGGGGATGTTCAATTCTGTGACTTGGATGCAGACACCACAGAGAAGTTTCTGAGAATGCTTCTGTCTAGATTTTCTTTGAAGACATTACCGTTTCCAACGAAATCCTCAAAGCTAGCCAAATATCCACCTGCAGATTCTACAAAAAGTGTGTTTCAAAAGTGCTCTCTCCAAACCAAGGTTCACTTCTGACAGTTGAGTGCACACATCACAAACGTGATTCTGCGAATGCTTCTGACTAGTTTTTGTCGGAAGATATTTCCTTTTTCAGCATAGGCCCCAAAGAGCTCAAAATGTCCACTGCCAGATAGTACGAGAAGATTGTTTCAAACCTGCTCTGTGAAAGGGAATGTTCAACTCTGTGACTTGAATGTAAACATCCCTAAGATGTTTCTTAGAATGCTTCTTGCTAGATTTTATTTGAAGATATTCCCGTTTCCAACGAAATCCTCAAAGCTTTCCAAATATCCACTTCCAGATTCTATAAAAAGAATGTTTCAAAACAGTTCTGTCAAAAGAAAGGTTCAACCCTGTTAGTGGAGAACACACATCACAATCAAGGATCTGAGAATGCTTCTGTCTAAATTTTCTATGAAGACATTCTCGTTTCCAAGGAAATCCTCACAGCTATCCAAATATCCACTTGCAGATTCTACAAAAAGTGTGGTTCAAAACTGCTGTATCAAAAGAATGGATCAACACTGTTAGTTGAGTACCCACATCACCAACGTGATTCTCAGAATGCTTCTGTCTAGTTTCTATAGGTAGATATTTCCTTTTTCAGCATAGGCCTGAAAGCGCTCCAAATGCCCGCTTCCAGACACTATAAAAAGAGGGTTTCAAACCTACTCTATGAAAGGGAATGTTCAACTCTGAGAACTGGATGCAAACATCACAAAGAAGTTTCTGAGAATGCT